>NC_000007.14:148094743-148246258 GCF_000001405.40 Homo sapiens | reverse complement strand
TCCTTTTTAGTACGGTGGCTCTATTGATATTACTTTACCAGTAGGTTTTGGCAGCAATAACAATATTCAGGATGGAGTCGAAACATTGGCATCATCAGAGGACTGATAACCACATCCTTCAAATTCTTTTCCAGGTGAAAGAGCAGAAAGGTGTATCAGGAAGATCATTACATAGAGAGTGACTTCAGAATGTGGGGGAATGCCTGAAAGTTCCATTTAACGACCAGTTCTGCCAGTTTATGGAAAGCAGCAATGCTCTGTTCCCTGGAAACACTGAAGCTTTTTAATGCTATGTTTGGAGCTCGTTCCAGAAGTAGAAGGTGGAGAGGGATGGGAGAATTCAGTAGAAATGGTGAGGAATGGAGACTAGAAAAGACCAGGGGAAGTGAAGGGAGATGATGGACATTCGCTTCTTTTGTGACCCGGCCCTGTACGAGTGCTCATTGTGTGCACTGAGTGTGTGTGTGTGTGTACCCATGTGCATTAAGGCTCTAACACAATTGGCTGAGCTGAATTCTCAGTACAGAAGCCTATTAAATTTGGATTTGGACTTGGATTGTGTGTTCAAATCTACTCGAGAGAAAGCTTGGGGGAGTCTGCAGACCTTGAACCTCATGGTGACCCTGAGCCCGCTCTATCTTGCTCAAATCCCAGCTCTTCTTCCGTCAATCTTCCAGAGAGGTTTAGTTCCTGGCATTCTGCCTGGGTTCCCTTGGCAATCTCGGGAAGAAAGAAAATGCTGCTGAAAGGATTTGGGAGAAGGAAGAGCAGCGCGCAGAATATGCCAGCAGCAGGAAAAACATCTGGTCCTCCCCTTCATCCTCCTCCACATCAGCATCTAACATTTCCTGGAGGCGAACTGCAGGTGGGATCCCACCATAAGTACTTTACACATATTATTTTTTTAATTGCACACAACTCTGTCGGCACATACTCTTATTCGCCCCATGTTACAGTTGAGGAAACTGAGGCACAGAGATTAAGTTACTGTGTCTAGAGGACACATAGTTGCTGAGTAGCTAGCCCAGAGGTCTGTGGGCTTGCAGAGGCCAAGCTCCTCCATGTGCCAACCTGTATCCTTTGCCATAGAAGAGCAAGGCTGGCATCATGCCCACAGGAAATGCACAAGACAACCCAGTTGTTATTCCAAATTCTTCTCTAAAAGTATTCTCAATCAACTCCAGTCCAAAATTGCTTTTCATAAAAAATACTAGTAAATATAAATACAAAAGGTACAATTAGTAAAAAAATACAAATGCATATTCTGATTTTATTGGTTTTATTTTTTCAAAATCTATAAATCATATTACTATTAAATATAGACTACTATATGTAATCTATAATATCCTTATAATGTCCTATTAAAATGTTATATTAGATTAAAAAAAAAGGCAACAGCCTGGCATGGTGGCTCATGCCTGTAACCCCTGCACTTTGGGAAGCTGAGGTGGGCAGATTGCCTGAGCTCAGGAGTTTGAGACCAGCCTAGGCAACATGGTGAAACCCCATCTCTACAAAAAATACAAAAATTAGCCGGGTGTGGTGGCTCATGCCTGTGGTCCCAGCTACTCGGGAGGCTGAGGCAGGAGGATCGCTTGAGCCCAGGAGGCGGAGGCTGCAGTGAGCTGAGATCATGCCACTACACTCCAGCCTGGGGGACAGAGTGAAACCCTGTATTGAAAAAAAAAAAAACCCAAAACACACACACACAAAACCCCCAAAAAGGCAACATCAAAAACCCTAACAAATCCTAGTAATTAAAACATAAATATAATCCAAAACATATTTTCCAATGAATAAATAAATATACACACTGGGCTCAATACTCATTCCTTACAACTACAACTAAAGATTACCAACCTTCCTAAAAAACAGCCTTCTCAGCTACATAACACAATCAATATTGTTTTTATAAATATGGCCAGAGTTAATTTGTGACCTAAAGAGAGAACTTGTGAGACAAAATCACATACATAAGCAGCTAAGTTTGCTTGTCTCTGTGCCAACATAATTTCACAAAGCCCCAACTCTGTGATGACATACAGCTCTCCAAAACGACAAAATAAAACAGAACACCTGGCCCCCATCTCTCCTACCTAAGTCACTATATTCCTTAAAAGACAAATGAACCTAGTCCTTACCTTCTCCTACGCATAAAATAACATCTGGGGAGATTAGTGATGACACTTCTATAATCTAGAACCAGATATACCCTTACACCCAAACCTTAACGTAGTTCTACTTTAATATAATGTCTAAACAAGTTTCATATAACTTTGCACATGCTAAACCCCTAGCACCTATATATACACAGTGGGCTAAAATACTGTGCTGGCGCAGTCTCATAAAACCTCTGTAAAAGACTGCTTGTGGGTTGTAGGCCTCAGTCTACAGTCCCCAATAAGACTTCTAAATAAAACCAACTTTAATTCTTCAAAAGTTTTTTTTTTCTTTTTTCTTTTTTTTTTGTCTTTAGTTGACATTACATTTCCTTTTATCCATTGATATGGTTTGGCTGTGTCTCTACCCAAATCTCATTTTGAATTCCCAAGTGTTGTGGGAGAGACCTGGTGGGAAGTAATCGAATCATGGGGGCCAGTCTTTCTCATGCTGTTCTTGTGATAGTGAATAAGTCTCACGAGATCTGACGGGTTTAAAAAGAGGCATTCCCCTCCACAAGCGCTCTCTCTCTTGCCTGCCTCCATCCACGTAAGATGTGACTTGCTCCTCCTTGCCTTCCACCATGATTGTGAGACTTCCCCAGCCATGTGGAACCGTGACTTTTCCATTAAACCCTTTTCTTTTGTAAATTACGCAGTCTCAGGTACGTCTTTATCAGCAGCGTGAAAATGGACTAATACGTCAACTTTCTGATTTGTACAGCCTCTGTCCCCTCTGCTAGCAGGACAGGTTCTCAGAGATGGTCAGGATGTTGGAGGCTACTGCCCCTGTGCATTTGTGGTGTTCCACTGTTGGGGTTAAGCACACAAGCCCTGGCAGAAGCTATGATGTTGGTAACCTAGATCCTAATGCCATTTCCCCAGGAGACCAGGAGTCAGATCGGTGGAGTGGGCTGATTTCTACTGTCTGTTCTCACCATGTAACCTCTGCTGGTGGCCCTGGGTGACAATATCAGGAAGGATGCTCGGATAGGATGGCAGCCATTCGCTCATGTGTTTTATTCATTCTCTGACTTCCACTTCTTTTTGGATGTCCTTTCTTCATCTTTTCTCTTGAGCTGCCAGCCCAGACCTTCTCTTCTACCCACAAAGGGGGGGTTTGTTGCCCCTCTCCTTAACATTTTGATTATATTTCCTCAGCTCAAAGATATAAGAGGAAAGGCAATTATTAGCTCACCAAGCGACCACTGGGGAAAGGATGCAAATCAAATATATTTAATACTTCAGAAAGCAGGAAGAATTTGTGCACTTTCAAATAGCCAAGCTCATTGAATGTGCACAGAATCCATGATTCATAAACTGGATTCCTTCACGTATTCAGTCACTCAGTCAACACTTCTTGAAACTCTCGTGTGTGCCCAGGGCTCAGGGACAGAGCAGTGAGATGTGAAAGCGTAAGAAAAATCCCTGGATTGTACCCTTTGAATGCAACGGCAAGCTTCCATTTCTATAAGTAATACCAAGTCCTACCGCCATCGCGGTATCCGCGACAGATGCAAGTAACCCGCGCTATAACCTAGGACTCTGGTTTTGGTCGGTGTTTATAGAAAACCACACCCAAGCCAGTTTCACAAGATTTTCCCTTCCCTACGCTCACTGGTTACAGCTAATGACCACTAGAGGGCATTTTAACACTAGCTCCGAACTCGCTCCAGGACCATGTCCATCAAAATCTTCAGACTCAATCCCAGGACTGACTTCTCCCTGCCTGAGTGGAAGGGCAGCGTGGAACCCTTCAGAACCTCAAACCGCATGTTGAGATACACTTACTTTTCAGACAGAAGATGAATTTAGGTGAGATAAGAACCTGCTTCAGTTACCTGGGCAAGAAACAACCCGCTCTGCCCATTGTGCTAAAAATTTGCTCCAAGAGTTACAATCTTTGAGAGTGATTTTAGTGCACTGCAGATGGATATAACAGTATGATGCTTTGCAGATTGGACTTTAGTTTTCATGCCAGACAAAATAGAAATCCAGGAACCTTATGTTCTTTCTTGAGAGGTGATTTATGTATTTAATGCACTTGGAGGAAAAAAAAGTGAACTCCCAACCTTGGTCTTACAAGCTTTAGCCGTATTCTGGAGAAAGAAAGAGAGGACTGACATCTCAAACCCTAAACTGGATCAGAAATTGCATTGCAACTGCCTTCCCACTGAGCTGCATGAAATGTAAAACGAAGTAAACACATTTTTCTGGAGTGTAGGAATGGAGGTACTGTCTAGCCCTGGAGTGCATAATTCATTTGCAGATGAAATTGCTTTAGAAAACAAATGAAAAATGTGGAAGTGTTGACATATTCATTATGAGTCTTTTTCTGTTTCAGATCAGATGGGCTTGATGGCTTAGAACTTATTTTCTTAACATATTTTCTGTATAATTTTTATGAAGGGCAAATGTTGAATCTCTGTAGTAAAAAATAAATAAGCTAATGTGATCCTCCCCCCTCCACCATGGAAACCTTGAAGGAACAGCTCAAATGCCTTTGTGAGACTGCTCTGATCCACTCTTTCCTCCTCAGGATTATTCATTCCCCTACTTTTCTGTGCTCCCACAGCACAAGCTTATACTTCAATGGGCACTTGGTTCATATCTGTATGACTGATGGTCTTTCTTCTACTGGACTGGGCTCATGGAGGCAACAGCCATGCTGCATGCTGGGAATATACTAGGTGCTGAGAATATGCTTAATGGGTTGAACTACAAATCAATGGAAAGAAACCATAGTCCCAAAGAGCCTGTTGGTACTGATCCTGACATCTGCTATTTTATTTTTTGCTTTTAAGAAAGAGAAGGGAATTGGGAATGAAGGAAGAAAACTACCGTTTTATTGGGTCATAGACTATGCTAGATTTTTTTTTGTATTTCCATTTAACATACACAAACTGCATTAGAAAAGATGGACTTACTCCAATTTTAGAAATTAAGTCAACAGAGATTTCATTAACTTGCTAGAGAACACAGAGCTATTAAGTAAGTGTGATGGTTAATACTGACTGTCAACTTGGTTGAATTGAAGGATGCAAAGTATTGTTCCTGGGTGTGTCTGTGAGGGTGTTGCCAGAGGAGATTACCATTTGAGTCAGTAGACTGGGAAAGGCAGACCCACCCTCAATCTGGGTGGGCACCATCTAATCAGCTGCCAGTGCAGCTAGGATAAAAGCAGGTAGGGGAACGTGGAAGGACTGGACTGGCTGCATCTTCTGGCCTTCATCTTTCTCCCATGCTGGGATGCTTCCTGCCCTCAAACATTGGACTCCAAATTCGTCAGCTTTGGTACTCTTGGACCTTCGACCACAGACTGAAGGCTGTACTGTTGGCTTCCCTACTTTTGAGGTTTTAGGAATCTGACTGGCTTCCTTGGTCCTCAGCTTGTAGACGGTCTACTGTGGGATCTCAGCTTGTGATCGTGTGAGTCAATATTCCTTAATACACTCCCCTTTATATATGCATCTATCCTATTAGTTCTGTCCTGCTAGAGAGCCCTAATATAGTAAGGTAGCCTATCAATAAAGACCCTTTTAAATTTATGTCTTAATAATAACCTCTGAATTCAACAGTTTGTAATCCGTGGGGTCTCTGTTTACACTGACATTGTCCTCAAGGGGAAATCTCGTTACGTGCTGTGTCCTTATCACCACCCCAAACTGCTAATATTCTCTTTTGCTGGATACCCTTTTTATTATTTACATGTTGATAAGGAGACTTGTCAAACTGTCTTCTAGAGGAGAAGTAGGTGGAACAGGTTTCTATTATCTGACAAAATGCCTAGTGACTGGACACATCTTTTCTCCCCTCCCAGAATATAAACTCCTTGAGTTGTAAAAGATACATTTTATTCATCCCTGTATGAGTCACCTACTGTTCCACCAACTCATCATTATCTATCCAAATTTCTTTTATATTGTAGATACTCAGCACATATTTGTTCTCCTCAAAGTTATTTTGATTAAAGTGGAATCAATTTTAATTGCATTCCACATCAGTAAATGGCCTAATGGAATGGTTTTGGTGACCATCTGGTTTTATCCAAATCAGGCTTCAGAAACGATTGCTGTTTGGAACTTTCTCACCATGTGGTGGGTTTAGTGGTAGGCAGGGGTAAGAGAGAATGTCAATTAGATATCATCATGTTAAATTCTTAGGGACCCCATGTGGCTTTAAGTAGAAGAGAAGTACATTGATAACAGAAGAGTCCTGGACATCTTGAGAACCTTCTGTCTTCTTCAGCAGGATCTTCACCACACGCCTCCACCACACTCCTAGGAACCATGTCCTTGCATACGGGCTGGCCAGACCTCTCAGTGTGGAGGTGGCCTGAGTTTAAAACTTCAAGCTGGTTTGAAGGTACTGGGAGGGAGAGGAATCTGAGGCTCTGGTAGTTGGGCATCTTGTTTCCTCTTTTCAGAAACATTTTGTCAAATACTGCTACTTTCTGAACCAAATAATGAAAACGTGCTCAAATACTTTCTCAGGGGCCGAGGAGCCATAGCTCAACCCAAAACCAGAGGCGACATTACAAAAGCTAATGAGGTCATGAGGTTTTTGATGTGTCTCTCAATCATGAACAGGCTTCTCTGGATACATAGAAATATAGAAGAAAAAATGAATTCTGACTCATATACAGACCAAATTAATGGGCAACTTCCCAATATATGTAGCCCTCTCTCTTCTCTTCCCATAGATCTTCTATATCAGTTCAATAGACTCAAACCATTGTAATACTATCAGAAACTAATAAAATATTGGCCTATGCTCTCCATAGAATTATACATGTCAGTCGTTCATTAAAGTGGAAAGTTAAGTGCTAATACACTTGCTAAGAATCCCAATAGAGAGCCAGTGCTATAATAGGTAAAAGTTCTTCTGGAAGGGAAGAAGCCAGAGTGTTCAAATGGCTCATCATTATTCTTGCAATTGCCTGCCTTCTGTCAAGCATGCTTGTATTGCACAACCCAGGCTGTGAGTTTATCATCCAGAGTAGATAAAAACTAAATTAGCCAAAGGGAAGGAGTTACAGTAAATGTAATTTCAAGAGCAGTGCCCTAGGCTAGCTAGGTCAACTTTCTTTATTTGTTCTGACATCCCTAAAAAATTTAGTGCTTCCAAACTGTGTTATTTTCCTTAATAAAGGCATGAACAACTTCTGATAGTAAAATTTTTAGGAGTGTTTACATCCATATGCTTGTTAGTATTGTTCTTTATTGGCAGAAAGTTCAAGGGTAATAAAGGCACACATTTTTAAATAATTTATTTGAGCTTCAGTATCTAATTTCAGTCTGGGCTCCATGTTTCTACAGAAAAGAAGGATCCTAAAATGGACAGACAAGAGGTTATGTTCATATTTACTTAAAGAATGAGATGGAATTTTTATGGGTGTATGATACTGTGTGCTGTAAAAACACTAGCCTTAACGTTGGACCTTGTAGTTCTCTTTGATTATAAAAATTAGGGTTTTATGACCCCCTACGAAACGCTATAAAGTCATTGCTTTTAGTGACTCCAAAGAAAACACAAATCCTCAAAAGACTTAATTTTGCGTAAACATTTTTAAAAAATTTCAAAAGTTTATAAGGCAAATGAACAGGAGTGAGCTTGCTTCTCTTGCCCACTTGCAAAGACAACAAAGAGCAAACTAAGTGGGGAAACGGGGTCTGGTTAGCTGGGTTCTAGAGAAGATCATGTCTCTTGTGAGCACTGGGACCTTATTCATCATTGGGACTTCTTTTTTTTTGAGATGGAGTTTCGCTCTGTCACCAGGCTGGAGTGCAGTGGCACGATCTCAGCTCACTGCAACCTCTGCCTCCCGGGTTCAAGCGATTCTCCTGTCTCAGCCCCCTGAGTAGCTGGGACTACAGGCGTGCACCCCCATGTCCAGCTAATTTTTGTATTTTTAGTAGAGATGGGGTTTCACCATGTTGGTCAGGATGGTCTCGATCTCTTGACATCATGATCCACCCGCCTCGGCCTCCCGAAGTGCTGGGATTACAGGCGTGAGCCACCGCGCCTGGCCTGGGACTTCTTAATCTCTGTTTTCTCATGTATATAATGGGACTAATAGCACCAGCTATTTCCAGTTCATAAGGCTGAGAATGGCAATGTGGGCAAGCATTTCGATATGTAAGAAAGGGCTTTGAGCACTACCTAACATGATCATTAAGGCCCTCTCAAGTCTACAGAGATTTTTCTCTGGGCTTGAGGAGGTTATGTGAAAGTCCTTACAATTGTACACTTTTCCACATATAGAAAGTGGTGAACTAGGGCTCCCCCGGCCACCAATGTTTCACGTCAATTAACATTTGGTGCTGCCCTAGGAGTCCATAATTGAATTACTCTCATTTTGCTGCTGATAAAATTCTTCCAACAATTTTTGACACCACTCTGCATGTGCCTCAGACTACTGACTTTACAGCATTCAATATTCATAAATGACTTCAGACCATTTGATGTTACATATTTCAGAGTGAGAATTTCTCCAGGTAAGACTTTTTACTGAGTCTTCTCCAGTGGTCTTTTCTATTCATGAGATAGAGACAGGATGAAATCTATGAAATAGTCACTCTGCTAGCATCTTTGTTTAACATCATGTTCTCTTTTGGAACACACATCTTCCCTCTCCTTCTCCCTCTTCCATAATAAATATTCTTCCATGTCCTCTCTTGCCCCCCATTCACAGGTTAACATCTTATCCTTCCTTCAAAGCCTTATAGTTATAGCATAGAACCACAATGTCTTTTACTCTATTATTTTTGGACATTAGTACAAACACCTTTTTTATCAGCCTATTTATATATTGCTTACGATTTCCAACTAGAAATCATTTTACTATTATGTGGGAAAGAAAGTTATTTGTATTAAGCCTCTGATTTTTTGTTATAGCAGCGAATACAACCCTAACGAATACATACATTGGTATCTTAAGGCAGGGTGCTGCTATAACAGAAACCTAACACATGTAGCATTGGCTTTGTGGTAAGGTGGCAGGTGGTGCAGGAATGAATATTAGGGACTTGAAAGACAGAGGAAGAATGGTATGTGATATGGTTTGGATATGTGTCCCTGCTCAAATCTCATGTTGAGTTGTAATTCCCAGTGTCCAAAATGAGGTCATGGTGGGAGTTGATGGGATCATGGAAGCAGAGCTCTATGAACGGTTTAGCACCACCCTCTTGGTGCTGTTCTCCTGATAATATGTGAGTTCTCATGAGATCTGGTTGTTTGAAAGTGCGTAGCACCTTCACTCTCTCTCAGTCCTGCTCCTGCCATGTAAGACAAGCCTACTTTCCCTTTGCTGTCTGCCATCTAAGCTTCCTGAGGTCTCCCCAGAAGCAGAAGCTGCTATGCGTCTTGTACAGCCTGCAGAACTGTGAGCCAACTAAACCTTTTTTTTCTTTATGAATTACTCAGTCTCAGGTATTTCTTTATAGCAGTGCAAGACAGACTAATATAGTATGCAATAAAATATTTTGTAAAACTGTCACCTCACATAACCTGGAAGGCAGACTAAATGCCTAAGTAGCTTTAAGGAAAGTTCTTCAAAAGAGACAGAATGGTCGTGTGTGTCAGTTGCTTTTTGCTCCTCATGTCATGGAGCAGATGAGTTCAGGAAAGAATTGACCAGTTCCCAATAATCAATGAAAAGAATAGAAAAAAGTCTAGATATTTAGAGCCTTACACTAGAGAGTAAGAAATAACACTGCAAACCGCTTTGACCAACAATGGGGCAGTAAGATTTCTGTTTAGCAAACTGACTTAGCCTCACGGGTAACATTTAAATTAAGGGTCTTTACTTCCCACCCAAGCCTTTTGTGTCCACTGGCCCCAAAGTAGCTGCCATTACCTTGAGAGAGAGAGGCATGGGCGCCTGGAGGCAAATGATTGAGTAAGTCTAAGATTGATGTCTAGGGAAGAGCTTAGGGTGCATTTACCAGCACATGAAACTTACCAGAAGCAAATTGATCAGAAGCCACCTTGGGTTTTGAGGGAATTGTATTGGAAAAGAAAGCACAGATCTAGTCCACAAAAGGCTTATGAGTGTAAAAAACCCTTAGTGTAATTTGAACCTGCAGGAAATGGGCCTTAAAGCTGCACAGCTGTAGCCAGGCGCGGTGGCTCACACCTGTAATTCCAGCACTTTGGGAGGCCAAGGAGGGTGGATCACGAGGTCAGGAGATCGAGACCATCCTGGCTAACACAGTGAAACCCTGTCTCTACTAAAATTACAAAAAATTAGCTGGGCGTGGTGGCACACGCCTGTACTCCCAGCTACTTGGGAGACTGACACAGGAGATTCACTTGAACCCGGGAGGTGGAAGTTGCAATGAGCCAAGATCGTGCCGCTGCACTCCAGCCTGGTGACAGAGCAAGACTCCGTCTCAAAAAAAAAAAAAAAAAAATAATTGCTGCACAGCTGTAAGGAGCACATTATCCGGCACATAATTCAGGGGAGGCCATGGCTGAACACACACAAGGAAGAGCCTCCCAGAGGATGGAGCCCAGGAGGGCTTCAAGAATAATGGACAATAATTTGGCCTAATCCAGGGTTGGGGAAGCAGGGAAGTTGGTGGCAGTGGCAGGTCCTCAGAGTGCCTGCCCAGCACAATTTCATCACTGCTGGAGACCAGAGAACTTTCCTTTTCTGAAAATATATCTGATGTAAGACAGACTTTTATTGGGTTAAAACATGGACATTTGAGGGCTAATTTGTATAGCAACTGGCATCATCCTAATATTTGTATCCTTTCTTCTACTTCTAGCACCTAGCACACTACATGTTGCTAATGTTTTTGACACTTCTCTGACAGTTCTTAAGATTTATATACAGGACCTAGTTCAATTAACAATTGATGCAATTGTTTTTATACAATTTGGTTGAAATTCAGATTAGTAGCAGGTAAGAAATTACCGTGCTTATATTATTTTAAAGAACAGAATTCAGTGATATTTTTGAACATTTGTTTTGAAAATTCCCAGTGAAAATAATCAAAGTCATCCTCTTTTTGGTGTAAGAACTTGGGGATCTAATCATCATTTGTTCCTGAGGACCTAGAATTATTTTCTAAGAAAGGCCTTATTTTGCTTGCAGAAAATCTGTTAGCTTCTTCTTGGCAAAGATAAGATGGCCCTCTAGTTAGATGAAAGCCAAAATGATACATCCTTACCATCTGTTCATTTGATTTGTAGAGAATATGGATTCCGAGTATCTGTGCCAGAGAATATATCCCTGAACTCTCTATTGTCTAACTCACATCTAAACCCAAAAATGTGTGATTGTCATGGATAATTATTCAAAGAACATGTAGTTTATTCATTATCATTTTCCAGCTAGTTTTATCCTAGGATCAGTTCAAAATTTCAGAAAGCTGCATCATCTCAGCCTTTGGCCTCTTCATCTGTCCATCATCCTGCTCTACCTCACTCTCTACAGACTTGTTTGGGCTGAATTCAAAATGGGAAGCTTTACTTTCCCAAGGAGCTTCAGCATCTAACAGCCTTGTAACAAATACATTTGCAGAAATGCTGCTGAGGGCATTGACTCTGACTTTTATTGGGGCCCACTATGTAACCAGGAGGACAACAGACTCTTAATTGTTGCTGTGTTTAAAAAAATCTGAAGAAATAGGGCAAAATGTCGAAATTTGTAATGTTTCAATGGTGGGTACATAGCATATGGTTTATTATTCTCTGTGTTTTTGCATATTTTGAACTATCTTATGGTAATAACAGTAACATCACTTAATTTCTTACCAGCCAGAGGTATCTGCTTCTAAAATTTTGTGAACATCCTTCCAGACATCTGTCTATTAAGCAAGGTTAAGAGCCTGTGTACACTTTGAAGTATGACGGACCTGGGTTCGACTATGCTGTGGCCATTTACCGCTTTCTAACTTTGGGCAGGTTGCATCTTACTTTATGAACTTTAATTTCCACATCTCTAAGATGGTATATTAGTCCATTCTTGCACTGCTATAAAGAACTACCTGAGACTGGGTAATTTATAAAGAAAAGAGGTTTAATTGACTCACAGTTCTACAGGCTGTACAGGAAGCATGGCTGGGGAGACCTCAGGAAACTTACAATCATAGTAGAAGACAAAGGGGTAGCAGGCATGTCTTACATGGCCTGAGAAGGAGGAAGAGGGCAAAGCAGGAGGTGCTACACACTTTTAAACAACCAGACCTCATGAGAACTCACTCACTATCACAAGAACATCTAGGGGGAAATCCACCCCCATGGTCCAATCACCTCCCACCAAGCTCCTCCTTCAACATTGGGGATTATAATTTGACATGAGATTTGGACAGGGACACATTCCAAAACACATCAGATGGGAATAATGATGGCACATACTTCATAAAGTTTTTGTGATGACTAAATGAGAAAATGTGTCTAAAGTGCTTAGCACGTTGCCTTGGACACAGTAAGCACCAATACATGTGAGCTGTTATCGTGTATGTGATGTTGTATAAGTGGAGTATGCTATGGGCATTTTCTATGTCAGTAAATACAATCCATGGAATTAAATAAAATAAAAATGATATAATAACAAAAGGTTCAATTCTCAAGAGGAACTGGCTTAGTTCATCCTTATGGGTTGCATACTTCTGGCTGCCGAGAAGTTCACAGTCAAATTTATCCAAGTGGTAAGACCTTGTGACCTGATAATCATGTTCTATTTTCTCGATCTTGGGGACTTACTTTTTGTGACTTCCATTAACTCTCTATTTCATTTAATATTCTCCCTGTAAACCCCCTTAGATCCCTTGTGCAATGTGGTTGGGAAGAGAGAAAGGAAAAAATAGGAAGGAAAAGAAACATGGATGGCAAGACGGAAGGAAGGAAAGGAAGAAGAAAGGGTTAGTTGCACAAGGCTTTGGAATTGTTGATTAGAATGTTTCGCTTTTGGATTCATGCTAATTGACATAATTTTTCACTGCATGCCAGACTTTTTCAGGTGCTCTCTGGCTGCACCTTGTTTGTTTATATTTTGACTGGCATTAAGCCTTAAGCTATTCTCCCTGATGCGACTGTGAGTTTTCACAAATGATGCCACTGGAGGTATGCCATGGGTTCTGGTTCACGCTGGTGTCTGATAACTACTACAGTCAGTTCCCTGTTATCTATGTGGAGACTGGGTACTTTGTCTTTTGGCAGCAAATGTTTCATCCAAGGTCAGTTTCCCTCAAGTGCTCAGTGCTGTTTCACAGGGTGTGTGCTGAGGGAATGCAGATTAATTTAATGTTAGCTTTAGCCAAACCCAGCTACGAAAGTAAACCTGCTTTTAAAGACACCATAAACACTGATGAGGATCATCTAAATTATATGTTTGAGCATGTATAAATGCATCAACATTCACCTTAATTCCAAAGACATCATTCCACAGCACTGTGATCTACCATTCATCTTTGCATTAGCCTTATTTTTGTTCTTTGACTATAAATAAATAAATATTAATTTGAAATTATTGAAATGCCTTTGTTATCATATGTTATTATAACTGGGGACTACCAGAATAGGTTGAGAATATATGGCTGTTTCATATTTCTGTTTGATTATAAAAATGCAGCATGTGCTTATAATAGAAAATGGGGAAATAGAAAACTCTAGAGGAAATCAAACCATTGATAATCCCTTCACACACAGATGATCACTGTGAACATTTTATTATATCTCTTTCCACACACAGTTGAGGCTGTAGAAGTTCTCAAGATGGATTTTTAGATTGTTTTAAGAAAAAATTGCAGTGTTATTTGGTGTTGCAAAGCACTTTCCGAATTACTTCCACGTCTGCAAGGCCTCCCTGCATGAAAGAAAGTGGGGCATGGGAGTGAGAAGCCCTGGGATCTGCTTTTCCATAAGGAGGAACTACATCTTGTCTTCCTCCACCACCTCTATCTTTACTTTCTTTTTGCCCTCAGTGGTGGGCAGGTCCCAGGGTAGATGGGACAGGCTGGGCTGAGAGATTGGAGCTCCCCAGGCCGTGACATCTTTCCTAGTTGCCCTCACGTGGGTTGGGACATTCAGAAATCTTACTGCAGTCAGTTACATTACATGACAGAGAAGGAGGGAGAGCTGGATCTCCCAACACTTCCAGGTGCAGAACCTAGGGCGGAATCGAGGAAGCACTTCCCAGGTTTTTCTCCTCTCCTACCTCAGAATCGTGCATCCAAAATTTTCACTCCTGTCGTCCTATCTCCTTCCTTTTTCTGGAACTGCATTCTGTTCTTTTGAGGGAGTTTCCCAAGTTCCCCACTCTAATCAAGAGATGTGATTAGGGACTATGGGTCTTTGTTCCCCCTTCCACCCAACAAGGTGAGCACGTGACTCAAACCAGGCCTATCAGAGATTCCCTGGGATTTTAAAATGAGTGTCAAGAAACTAGGACCCCTTCTTCCGGTAACAAAATTGGGAAGACATGAGCCCAGTACTCCTGTGACTATGGCCTAGGATATGTGAAAGATGGAGCATGCAGTAAGAGGTAATTAATCCAGTCTTCAGAGAGAGGCAGAGATGAGAATGAAAAAGAGGGAGGGAAGGAAGGAAGGGAGAGAGAAACCTAGTGGTATTCTAGTCCACAGTTTTAATTCTCCAGGCTCCCTAGATTCTCTTCCCAAAGTTTGGTTTTATCTTTTTCAAATTCTATAATTCTATGACCTACCCTAGGAATTTTCCCCAACAAATTACTTCTGAATTGCTTTTCTATCATTTGCAACCAAAATAGTCTTGGGCAATAGAACCAGACCCTCCCCCAAACCCATTCATCCCCTGGATTCTCTGCAGGTCTCTGGCTGCTCCACTGTCTATATCTCTGGCTTTCTGTGCCTCCAAAGCCCCAAGTCTTAAAAATCATCCACTCCTCTCCCCTTCCTCAAGTCTTTCTCTAATTCACTGTGGCAGAGAGTGAGGGTAAACTGTATACGATTCTATGGCTGTGGTGGGTCTCTGCTGTTATACTGTCTGAAAAGCCATTGTTTAGGTCTTTTTAAGTTTTAGTATTATTTCGCAATGGTAAAATGGCAAGATAAGTCACTTTCTTTAAAAGAGGTGACAAATTGGGTGGCTTAAAATGGAAAAAGTCTCTAATCAAAAGCCGAGGGAGACAATGTTGATGAAATGATGTAAAACGATCTGTCTCCTGGACTTGCTGGCTTTTCTGACTAAAACTTGGTTAAAGATGGGCTTGGTTTACTCCATAAAGAATTTGTCACCCCTAATGTGTGCCAGGTACTGTGCTGGGCTCTGGGACTCTGTCGACCATGATGAGAGAACCTTATTATGCCACCTTTGATTGATGGCGCAGTAAGCTGAAACAGTGCATGTCAGTTTCCTAGGAAAGGCCTCTCCTTAAAATGCCCTCTAGCATTTACTGCTAAAGGCCACGCGCAAACTCCATATCAAGTTATGAATCTGACATCCACCAGTGCTCAAAAGAGATAGGGCTTGTGCCTTTTCTTTGCAACCTGAACTTCCCACAGCATCCAGCCGAATCAGAATGAGGTCTGAGAGGCTGCTGAACCCCTGCCAAATGACACTCCACTTTACTGACAAAACAGCATCCTCCTGCTGTTCTTTCTCCTGACAGGCATCTATTTTGAACTCCTTCTAGAGAATGCAGTGACAGTTCCCATCCTTGATGTCTTGGCCTAGCTCCCAGGGAGACCTCCTCACATTATGTTTTATTCATGGTGTTTCCCAAGCTGGTTTCTTCACTGTAAAAATCAGTGGTGAGGGCCGGGGTCGTCAATGAACCTGAAGTAAAATTTGAGTGTCATAATAAAACCATCCCTTTGTGTGCCGAAAGCCCACAGTCAGAGTCTGAGATTCTGGGGAAAGACTGTTTTGAGGATTTTTAAGACAAAGGCTCTGCAGAGAGAGAGAGAAAAATACAGCTCTTTGTATTGTGTTGGAGCAGTGAAAGAAGTAGGTCGGAGAAACCAAAATAACCTTTGCTGGGAAACACGGTAAGTTTCAGATGTCTGAGAGCTTGGCGAAGAAAGATGGTGCAATGGATAAAAGCAGTAAATTGATAGATATGTGGATCTAGAACTGGGAAAACCAGAAAGACTATACGGAATAAACATTTATTCTATTTCCCCCTAAAAGATGTCTTCAACTTCATCATTGTCTTTCCTTGTCAGAATTATATATATTTCTACTTCACTAGTTATGCACTTGTAGGAGAAAGTGTAAAAAGCATCTCTTCTACTTCTATCCCCTCAAAACAAAACCAATGGCCAAGCATTATAGGGACAGGGACTATAATGCGATATTATATGTAATTTATATGTACATGTATGTATACCTTGAGAAAGATGGTCTTCTCGTGGCGGGTGATGTTGACACTGTGGGGCTGTCCATTGGCCATGTTCCTGTGGTCTACGTCAATATTGTATGGCTCTCGGGTGCCACCCAGGTTGTATCGAATCTGTAAGCTTCCTATAGAAGAAAAAAGAAAGCTCAGTAATTTGTTTGCCCTAAATTTCATTTTAATGTCACATCCCCTCAATTCCTGCTCTTAGATTCTTTCTTTCTTCCTTTCTTTTCTTTTCTTTCTTTTTTTTGACGGAGTCTTGCTCTTGCCCAGGCTGGAGTGCAATGGTGCGATCTTGGCTCACTGCAACCTCTGCCTCCCAGGTTCAAGCGATTCTCCTGCCTCAGCTTCCTGAGTAGCTGGCATTACAGGCACCTGCCACCACGCCTGGCTAATTTTTGTATTTTCAGTAGTGATGGGGGTTTCACCATGCTGGCCAGGCTGGTCTCGAAATTCTGACCTCAGGCTATCCGTTCGCCTCAGCCTCCCAAAGTGCTGGGATTACAGGCGTGAGCCACCATGCCCATCCAATTTCTGTTAAACTTTACTCCCTCCCTTGATGTCCACAGATAACATTCAATATTTGAATTTGGATTCACGAGCTCAGAGGCCTACTGACCCATATCGGCTGACAGCACCAGGCTCGCACATATTTACAATCTGCCCACAGTGAACTTCAGTGACTGTCGTCTCAAAGTTGAAGATGCAAATAGTTTAAATGATCCAAGTTGGGATTATGCCTGGACACAAAGAATGAGAGCATATACAATATAGGACTGCAGGGAGGAGACATCTGCAGGTCCCACGAAACACTATGTGAAATAAAAAAATAAATGCAGAGTGCAGGGATGTTCTCACCCCGTCAGCAAAGTGTGACATTGGGCATATAAAAGAATCATGAGCATACAATATTAAAAATAAACATAGTTTTTTTTTTTTTTTTGAAACAGAGTCTCGCTCTGTCGCCCAGGCTGGAGTGCAGTGGCGCGATCTCGGCTCACTGTAAGCTCCGCCTCCCGGGTTCACGCCATTCTCCTGTCTCAGCATCCCCAGTAGCTGGGACTACAGGCGCACGCTACCACGCTGGGCTAATTTTTTTTTTGGTATTTTTAGTAGAGACGGGGTTTCACCGTATTAGCCAGGATGATCTCGATCTCCGGACCTCGTCATCTGCCAGCCTCAGCCTCCCAAAGTGCTGGGATTACAGGCGTGAGCCGACGCTCCTGGCCAAACATAGTTCTTAAAGATGAGATTTTGGGTGGCCTCATTGAGACCAAGTAATAAATTTTATTTTAGCTTACAGACTAATCAAATGCAAATCAACAGGAAAGATGGCTTTCCCTGGTCCCCTGAGTCCCTTTTTGCCCTCAATGATAGTTCACTTTGCCTCAACAGTATATTCTTTTTTTCCTCCTTGCTTCGTCCCAACAATAAAAAACAATATTGAAAATAACTAATATGACAATGTAGATCCTGCTTTTAGTTAATCTGCAAGCATAAATATTATATCTTAGTTATGAGTTTTAAAGACATCAATATTTTATCTCATTTGTTACTCAAATTGGAATTTTCATGTTGATATCTCAGAGCTTAAAAATGGAGCCAGCAATCTAGCAAGAATTTGACCAACTGCAAATCACCTAATGGATTATTTGTCACCTTTCATTTCCTTTTTAGGGGAACAAAACTGATATTCTGATTTTAAGTTACAAAATAAAACATGCTAATTAAAACATAGAAAGTAAACAGAAAAAAAATAAAAGAAAGTCACCTGAAATCCCACCACCCAAAGATAATTTTTCTAAACATCTTGGGAGTAGCTCCTTCCAGACTTTCACACACACACACACACACACACACACACACACACACACACACACACACACGCTGTGCTCTTCCTTATTTAGGCATCCTAACATTACACTTGCCATGTTCCTGGATTTCAAAGGAACATTTGTTAGAATAATCAAGAGCTAATTACATTTCCTATATTTGTTTTCTAAACGAAATTCAACAAACCTTCACTATTTCTGAGTTTTACCTTAGAATGTCATCCTAGACTCCTTTGCCCCTGGCATTTCAACTAAGCACCGTGGATTGGATTTTCGTCTCCTAAATCTATCTAAATTCCCTCACTCTTTTCCACTTCGGTAACCACAGGCTTTCTGTTGGCACCCACAGTGTCCTTGTGTGAATTCCAGAGGGAGCCTGCTCCCTGGCTGAGGCAGCTCCACACAGAGCTCCTGGTTCATCCTCACCTGTGCTTTACCTGCACCATCTTCTGCCTGGATTGCAGAAGATGGTGGGTCTTAGTCAGCCTCCTCTTTAAAAATTACTGCTCTTGACCTCATTTCACTCTCAAGTGAGGCCTCTTATCCTTTGCTTTTCTTTGCTCCGAACCCCATGAAAAGAGATGGGTACACTTGCTGCCTCCAAACCCGTCCCTATTTTAGCATGAGCCCTCTGTCTCACTTCTGTCTTCCCTGCTCCACGGTCTCTTGCTGGGCCCGTGACCCTTGGGGAAGTAGAGGCAATTGTCCCTCTCAGGCCTCATCTTCACTCGGCACAGAATTCATTCACCTCCCGGGAACACTTGGCTTCCAGCACACACTCTTTCGGTTTTCCTTCTCTACCTGTTTTTCCCCTCGTTTTGGGGCACCTTACTCTTGCAGTCCCCAAAGACCAGCCCTGAAGCATATTCTCTTTTGTATTCAGGCCTGTTTCCATGGTGATCCTGTTACTGAAGGAAAATCCCAAAGGGTCTGCAGCAAACTTGATCCTTGCCTCCTCAGAGGAAAGAATGCGGCTTGAGGGGCAGAAGTAGGTTTAAGGCAGAGGGAGAGACTGCGGCAAGTTTTAGTAGAGCAGGAGTGAAAGTTTATTAAAAAGTTTTAGAAAGGAAGTGCACTTGGAAGAGGGCCAAGCGGGCGACTTGAGAGATCCAAGTGCCCTGTTTGGCCCTTGATTTGGGGTTTTATACATTGGCATAGTTCTGGGGTTTGGTTTCTTCTCCCCTGATTCTTCCCTTGGGGCGGGCTGTCTGCATGCGCAGTGGCCTGCGAGCACGTGGGAGGGGCTGCATGCACAGGTGTTTACTGAAGTAGTGCGCATGCTCATTTGAGGCATTTTTTTTCCCCTTTCCAGTTGAGTGTTCCTAGAGGAAGGTCATATACCCGTTAAACTCCATCATTTTGCCTCTTAGTGTGCATGCTTGGGCCCGCTTGCCCAACTCCTGAGATCTGATTGGGAAGCTGCTGATCACCAGCTCCAGATGTTTTCTATCTATTGGGAGACGGTCGTTCCTTGGTGCCAGCTGCAGCCAATTATCATTTTAGAGAGAGACAGTTTAGCAACTGCCTGACCATCACCTGATGGTTGTCTGACATTCTTGGTGGTTGGTGGGAGGGGGCACCCTCTTCTGCCCTGCTCGTGTGTCTACCTACCTACTCCAACAATCCTATCCTATGTAGGACCTTTGAATAAGGTGTATGCCCATCAGACACCACATTCATACCCTAGTCAGACTTCTCTCTTGAACTCCAGACTCTTTTTTTTTAATAATAGCATATTTTTATTAATAAGCTACAGAAACACCTGTACTTATCAGCAATCTTCAAAATGATATTCCAGTCAAGAAGTGTGAAATTATCATTTGAAAATTAATGAATAAATTCTAGGAGTAGTTTCTTACTAAGAGTGAGTTAAATAACTTTTCAGCACATTCATTTGAGGAGACACAGTGGCATTGAGGAGACTCTTTCACAAACTGTCTACTTGATATTTTCCCTCAGATATCTTACTGGCAACCCCAAACATAACATATGCAACAGAACATCCATCTTCTCTCCCCAAAAGTATTCCATTGCAGTTTTCCACATTTCAGTGAATTGCCAATTCATCCTTCCAGTTATTCTTGCCAAAAGCCTTGACTGTCCTCTTTCTCCTATATGACATGTGTCATCTGACACCAAGTCTTCTTGGCTTGATCTTCAAAATATGCCCTGAATCTTACCACTTGTCGCCATCTCCATCTCTACCCCCTGGACCAAGCCACCAGTGTCTTTTGCTGGGATTATACTAGCTTTTGTCCTTTCTCCAACCTTCCCTGATCCCACTGGGCCTCTGACCCTGAGATACACAGTGTCCTCACCACACGGTGGTCAGAGTGATCCTCTGCTCAAAATCCCAGTAACTCCCCGTCTCAGAGTAAAAATCAAACTTCTTGCAATGGCTCACCAGGCCCCATATGATCTCCTCATTATTGCTGACCTAACCTCCTGTTACTCTCCTCCTTGCTCACTCCTCACCATCCACATTGGCTTCCTGTTCCTACCCAAGGGCCTTTGCAGTCACCGGTTCTTCTGTTCAGGATGCTCATTCCCCAGGTCTCTGCATGGCTATGCCCTCACTCCTTCAGGTCTTTGCTCTCATGTCCTCTTCTCAGTGATCATTTCTGTGACTTCCTCATTAAAAGTGGAATTTACCCTCTCCTTCCCCTTGGCCAGGCCCTCCCTTTTCTGCCTCATATTTTCCCCATAACAGTTCTTAGCACACAACATACTATAGATTGTACCAATTTGTTTATTGTCTGTCTTCTCCTATTCAAAGATAAGCTCCATGAGAGCAAGAATTTTTGTTTCTATTCTTTATGACTATTCCCAATGTCTAGAATAGTGCCTGATGCACAGTAGGAGTGGAATAAATATTTGTTGAATAAATGACTGAATGGTCTCTGATATGGTTTGGCTGTGTCCCTATCCAAATGTCATCTTAAATTGTAGTTCCCATAATCCCCATGTGCCATGGGAGGGACCCAGTGGGAGGTAACTGAATCATGAGGGTGGTTACCTCTGTGCTGTTCTCATGATAGTGACTGAGTTGTGATGAGATCGGATGGTTTTATAAGGGGCCTTTCCCTCCTTTGCTCTGCACTTCTCCCTCCTGCCGCCATGTGAAGAAGGACGTGCTTGCTTCCCCTTCCACCATTACTGTAAGTTTCCTGAGGCCTCCCCAGCCATGCGGAACTGCGAGTCAATGAAAATCTTTCGTTTATAAATTGCCCAGTCTCAGGTATTTCTTCATAGCAGCGTGAGAACAGATGAATACAGTCTCCCTGCTTCTGTACCGTCTTCTTCCCCATGTTTTCAAAATGTGTAACTGATTATTTTATTGGGTCATTTAAAATCCTTCAAAGCCTTCCAATTCTTTACAGAATAAAGATGTACTTTCCAAATAGCGGTTGCAATGCCCTGTCTGATGTGCATTCCTCCTGCTACTTTATTTTCAAGTCATACCACTCACTGTCACTTTTTACATTCAAACTACCACGAACTTCTCTTATTCCCTAGAAAATACGATCTCCTCCTACCTCAGGGCCTTTGAATATGCTGCTCCTACTTCTTGAGCTGCTTCTCTCTCCACCCCTCAGTGTTTACTCGGTTTTTCCTTTACCCAATAGCATTAAAATAGTCCATTGTTTGGGAATGACGGAGATGATCAGGCAGTTGTTTGGCAACACGCAGAAAAAACACGTTGATTGTCTTAGGTTTTTACTCTCTGCCTTATTTCTGGTGCTCTGACATCATATCATCCCAGCCAGTTTTCTTAAATATACAGCTGCCTTGATTCATCTCTTATTCATTTCTTCAGAACACATATATTTAGTTCCTGTGCAAAGCACAGCTTTTTTTTTTTAAAGGTCTGAAAATAGGCTTTCTGCCTGGTTACAAGTGTAGAGTCCACTTATAACACATACAGCCATGCCCATCCCCTGGCATGGGTCAGGCAATATGTGTGTGGCTCTGAGGATACAAACACACAGAGGCCTAGAGGTCGGAGGAACCGGCAATTATGCAAAACGCTGGACATTTTCCTCTCTGCTGTCACTTTGTCACTGGCCCCTTTATGTTCCTCAGCTCTATTAAAATCAGCATTGTTTTCTCTTTTTTTTCTTTTCTGTCCTTCTTGGACTTTGTAAATATGATTTTAAATTCCTATAACTGCTTCACTTAATGGCAGCAGAAATTATTGGCTTTGAGAAAGAAAGATGAGTTGGAACTTTAAATTTATATATAGTGACTATCTATAAACAGTAATGGTGATATTCTTGAATAATCCAATTTAAATGATGTATTTATTCCTTTCAGATAACAGCAGAAGAGGACCGCTAAATGATGGTAGGAAGAATGCTAGTATTTGTCCATTAAAATAAAACATTATTCAAATGCTGAGGTGCTTCACTTCTGTGTCTCATGTTCATCTCCCAAGTGAATTAAAGCAGTTATAAGGGACTTCTCTTTTATTGGATGCAGCAAATAACATGCTTAACAGATTTATTCTCTCCTGGTCATCATCATTATCATCAGCACACACTTACAGGGTACTGATCGTAGGCAGGAGATGTAGTGCTGGGAGCTTTTCATCTCTCTGGGAAGACAGGGCATATTTATCACAGAGACAGATAACAATACAGTACATTAAATGCCAAACAAATGACATTGAAAGTAAGTGGAATAGGAGTTTAAAGCAAGGAGAAGTCATCAAAAGGAGGTGGGACTTGATCTCAGCCTAGAATGAAAGGCAGGTGTCTGGCTAGAGAGGAAGTTGGGGCATTTCTAGGTAAGGGAGTATTGCAGGCATAAAGTCAGGTGCACATATGACCACAGAGTGCTTGAGGGGTAATGAGTTTCTCAAAACGAAGAGTAGGGGTTGCTGAATATGCGTTAGAATGTAGATTGAATCCGTGGACCTGGGAAATAATAACTGTTGACACATGCATATTGTCATTTGAGTTTCACAACACTCCTGTGAGGGAGACACTATTTTATGGATGAGCAAACAGAGGCATGGAGCTGCCAACTGATTGCCCAAGACAACTGACAAAAGGCAAAGCCGACCTCAAACCCAGACGGTCCAGCTCTACAGGCCACCATCTCACCCATGAGCTTGGTGGGTCTCAAACTTAAAAGTTTGTGGCACTGAGGAGTCTCTCCTGGTTTTGCTGGAGTGGGGCACCACTGAGTGTTTAATAAAGACATTATACAAGATCCCTTTTAAGCAATATCCCTATGCTATGGTGTGAATATCCCCTCCAAAACTCAGGTTGAAACTTAATCCCTAATATGGGTATATTGAGAGGTGAGCCCTTTAAGAGGTGATTGGATCATGAGGACTCTGTCCTCATGAATGGAATGATCCATTCATAGATTCATGGAATGATCCATTCATCGATTCATGGAATGATCCATTCATCGATTCATGGAATGATCCATTCATAGATTCATGGATTAATGGGTTAATGGATTAACAGGTTCTCATGGGAGTGGGACTGTCTATAAGAAGAGGAAGAGAGGCCTGAGCTGGCAGCTTAACCTCGCCATGTCATGCCCTGCACTGTCTCAGAACTGCAGAGAGTTCCCACCAGTAATAAGGCCCTCACCAGGTTTGGCCCTTTGGCCTCAGACTTCTTAGCCTCCATAACTATAAGAAATAAATTCCTTTTCTTTATAAATTACCCAGTTTCACGTATTCTGTTACAAGCAACAGAAAATAAGACACCCTATAAAGGCAGGCGGTGCTGGCTGTGGTGAAAAAGGGTGAGGGGGAGAATCTGGAAGCAGAGAGATGGATTGGGAGAGAATTTCCCAGCCAACAAGCTGAAGCCCACGGCTGTCCTACAGATGGGTGATGGGGTACCAGGAGCAAGGCTCCCCTCACACCGTGGCAGACATGAAGAAGGGGATGGCAGCTGGAGTCACTGGGCAGGTGGCCTCCAAAACATGACCTCATCCATTTACCCTGGTACCATTCAAATATAATAATTTTCTATGGACACCATGACGTAAACACTACTGGGAATTAAAAGATATTTGCCTCAGAGAGTAGTGGTGGGGAGGAAAAGGACACCATGAGTTCAATTCACAGGACTTGTTTGCCTGGGTGACCCACAAAAGCAGGGAAGAACGGAGCACTGGTGAGTGACACTGACCTTGGGAACACAAGTGTCTGATGGGCAGTGGTGGTGCTGGGGGCAGCTGGTTCTGGAGGACAGTGAGCAGAGCTTTCGATATGTGAAATGTGAGTGATGCCAGGGTGTTTAGTGGAGACTTTCTAGTAGCTTTTTCCTGATACTTTGGCGTAGACCTTACTGATGTTTTTTCCTAATGATTTCCTTTTTTTTCTAACTTTAAACTTCAAATAATAAAAACATGTTGTATTTGAAGTCTGAAAAAGCTGAATTTTCACCAGCAGTTTGAGGATAGTCTTGTAACAGTGAGACAGAACCCACCCAGCTTTGCCTTCCAAGAACACTGAGAGTTCCAGAGATGCCTGCCCTGGAGAGTACAGCCGGTGGGGAGCTTTGGGTCTGGAATCGGACACCCAGGCTGAGAAACCCCAGCCTGGCCCAACATCCTCTGAGTGTGCAAGGCACTCAACCTCCATGCACTCATGTGTTGCCATCAGTAGAAAGGAAATAATAATAGTATCTACTTCATAGAGTTGTGCAGCTCATGGGAATTAATGCATGGCACCATTCAGGATGGCTTTGGGCACAAAGTGAGCTTCATTAAATGGTGGCCATTAATACAGAATCCATTGATCAACGCCCTTGAAGACAATGAAAGTCCTCACACAGGCATGAGGGCACAGCAGTGGCAGGTGATGAAGGCACAGCAGCGGTGGGTGTGTAGCAGTGGGCATGTGAGGTAGCGAATACAGTTGAGGACCAAATCTAGTGTGGCAGTGACTCGAGGAGCAGACAATAAAAGTATGTGTGGGAATGTGTTCACCAACTTCTTGACAGTCTCTGGGTGAGAGCCCTCCTCCTGGGGAGGGACCTGAGAAGAAACCCAAGGTTCTTATCTGCCCAGTGGGAGGCTGGTCCATGTGGGTAGTGAACATCAGTGGGTCAAAAAAACCTATTGACCCTGATCCAGGAGAAATAAACTGATGAACTCCTGAAGACCAGGGGCTCCATACTTCTCTCTCTTTCATCCTCACTTTCTGATTTTACTTACTGTTTTCATCTTTCTGATTAAAGCATTTGACATGCATACAAAAGTACTGCTCAGGAGAAAAAAAAATCATCCACAATCCAACCAAACACTTTTGTGTTCACATTATTGCTTTTTTTTTTCTATCCCTATATTTTTTATGGAGCTAATATTTCACATTCAAGGCTGGATCTTGTTCATGTTTTTTTGGTTTAACATACATAAAATTTCCCCATATCATTAATCACGATTCATAAATATTTTAATAGATACATAATATTCCATAAAATGGCAACTCCCTCTTTTACTATTTTACTAAAAGTTGAACTTTCAGATTCTTTTCAATTTTTATTTTCATAGTTAACATTATGATGTTGGCCAGGCACGATGGCTCACGCCTGTAATCCCAGCACTTTGGAAGGCCGAGGCGGGCGGATCACGAGGTCAGGAGATTGAGATCATCCTGGCTAACACGGTGAAACCCCATCTCTACTAAAATTACAAAAAATTAGCCGGGCGTTGTGGCAGGCGCCTGTAGTCCCAGCTACTCGGGAGGCTGAGGCAGGAGAATGGTGTGAACCTGGAAGGCAGAGCTTGCAGTGAGCCGAGATCATGCCACTGCACTCCGGCCTGGGCGACAGAGCGAGACTCCGTCTCAAAAAACAAAACGAAACATTATGATGAACATCTTCATGATGAATCTTTGACTTTTGGCTTATTTCTTTAGGAATAATTTCAGAAGGGGAAAATACTAGGGAACATACTTTTTCCTCCATCTTTTTAAGCAACAGTGCATTTCCTAGAGAGGGAGTTTAATTTACTGTTTTTTTAAAACTCAAGCTGAATTAAGTTAGTAATAACAGTTCTAGCTCCCATGGGAAAAATCTTGATCTCCTTTTTTCTTTTTTTTTAAATTATTTTATTTTAGAGACAGGGTCTTGCTCTGTTATACAGGCTGGAGTACAGTGGCGTGATCATAGCTCACTGCAGCCTTGCACTTCTGGGCTCCAGCAACTTCTGGGCTCCAGCGATCCTCCCCCCTCAGCCTTCTAGTAGCTAGGACCACAGGTGTGCCTCACCATGCCCAGTTAATTTTAAAATTATTTTTGGTAGAGATGGAGTCTTGCTATGTTGCCCAGGCTAGTCTTGAACTACTGGCCTCAAGCAATCATCCTGCCTCAGCCTTTTGAGCAGCTGAGACCACAAGTGTGCACCTTCATGCCCAGTTAATTTTTAAATTATTTTTGGTAGAAATGGTGTCTTGCTATGTCGCCTAGGCTAATCTTGAACTACTGGTCTCAAGCAATCCTCCTGCCTCAGCCTTCCATAGTGCTGGGATTACAGGCATGAGCCACAGTGCCCAGCCAAAATTCTTGCTCTTTAAGATGCCATAACAGTGGAATAATCACTGAAGGGCAGGAAACAATGGGCAGTGGGAGAGAGAGTCTCCATATTTTCGGCTCCAATGGGAAGTGAGTTAGAGAGATTTGTTCCTGCATGCTCTTAAAATATTTTTATTCATTAAAAAAGTGATCTTAGGGCTGACGCAGTGGTTCACACCAGTAATCCCAGCACTTTGGGAGGCCAAGGCAGGTGGATCACGAGGTCAAGAGATTGAGATTGTCTTGGCCAACATGTGAAACCCTGTCTCTACTAAAAATACAAAAATTAGCCAGGCGTGGTGGTGCAGGCCTGTAATCACAGCTACTCAGGAGGTTAAGGCAGGAGAATTGCTTGAACTCGAGGGGCGGAGGTTGCAGTGAGCCGAGATTGCGCCACTGCACTCCAGCCTGGTGATGGAGCGAGACTCCATCTCCAAAAAAAAAAAAAAAAAAAAAAAAGAGTGATCTTAGAATTCTAAGGTATATGAGTTCATTTTCAGAGAGGAAGTGGACTTCTCAAGTTCAGCAAGTTTGTACACTCCAGGGCTTCTTAGATGTCTCTCAGAGGTCACTGCTGAAGGGTCACAAGCCCATTTGCATATTCTCCTCAGGATGCCAATTTTAGGTGCACTCAGATCCTCTCTGGCTTAATGTGTGTTTGACGACCAAGATGGCCCAGGATATTACAAGTAAAAATACACCCCTGGGCCGGGCATGGTGGCTCATGCCTGTCATCCCAGCACTTTGGCCAAGGCAGGAGGATCGCTTGAGTCCAGGAGTTCAAGACCAGGCCTGGCAACATCGTGAGACCCCCAACTCTACAAATAATTAAAAAAATTAGCTGGGAGTGGTGGTATGTGCCTGTGATCCCGGCTACTTGGGAGGCTGAGGTGGGAGGATCGCTTGAGCCTGAGAGGTTAGGGCTGAAGTGAGCTGTGATCCTGCTACTGTACTCAAGCCTGGGCAACAAAGCAAGACCCTGTTTCAAAAAAAATTAAAATAAACTCCTGCTTTAAGCAACCTTTATGACAGGGATACACTTTGTGAATTTAAAGTTCTGAGAGGATTGGGAATGAAGACATTTCTGATTTTCTACTCCTATTGAAAGTTCAGATGTTCTGTAACAACCTACTGGTATACTATCATAAATCAGGATAAAATTAATTTATGTAAAATTAATTTTACTCATTCAAAGCCCATCTCTGTTTAGCACATTTAGTGAATGTATTTATGTTTTATTAGTCTTTCTTATTAGTCTTTTTTTTCTTTTGAGACAGGGTCTCACTCTGTTGCCCAGCCTGGAGTGCAGTGGCACGATCATGGCTCACTATAAGCCTTGACATCTTGGGCTCAAGTGATCCTCCCATCTTGGCCTCCTGAGTAGCTGGGACTACAGGCATGTGCCATCACACCCAGCTAATTTTTGTATTTTTTGTAGAGATGGGGTTTCGCCATATTGGCCAGGCTGGTCTCAAATTCTTGAGCTCAAGTGATCCGCCCACCTTGGCCTCCCAAAGTGCTGGGATTACAGGCGTGAGCCACAGTGTCCAGCCAAATGTGTTTATTTAGTAGGGAGAAAAAATAATCATTACACATGCAAACATATCTCTTATTCATGCAACAGCATTCTTGTAAAGAACGCAACATGCCTCACCAACATTATTACTCTAACACCTTGCTCTAACACACCCAGCTGGCAAGTTGTTTTCCTGATATTCATGGAGAGAAATGGGGTTCAAAGAAGTTATGTGACTTGCTTAAAAAAGCCTATGGGGAATAAATAACAAACCAAGAACAATCTATAGACTCTTGCTAGAACATTCTGTCTGCCCAAATGTTAAATGGCAGAGGCTGGGTATCCTTGTCCTTACCAGTGGGTTTGACGAGGACTGCCAAGAAGTCTGTGGTGAAGGAGCTGATGTAGAGGAGAATGCAGGGCGCCTTGGTGGTGCTGAAGCTGAAGCGGATCTCCTCCTGTGCCAGGTCCGGGTGGGAGTTCTGCTGGTCGGGAGCGTTGTCTACTCTGCTGCTGGAGTCTCTGGCATTTGTTGCTGGTGCCTGAAAGTTATATCGTAGCCACATCCCTTCTTCAAAAAATGCACCAACATCTGTTATAAAGGAGAGAGAGAATTGAAAAATGAGGAGAGGTCTGATGCCGATACCCTACAATGACCTCTCCAGCAGTTCATGGAGTGCAGGCACTGGCTCCAGGAAGGGCATCTGAGTAAGTTCTATGGAGAAAGATGCTATTGCATCAACACAAATACTCTTATCAAAAAAAAAAAAAGCATGTAACAGGGTATGATGTATTAGTCTGTTCCCACGCTGCTAATAAAGACATACCAGAGACTGGGTGATTTATAAAGAGAAAGAAGTTTAGTGGACTCACAGCTCCATATGGCTGGGGAGGCCTCACAATAATGGTGGAAGGCAAAGGAGGAGCAAAGTCATGTCTTACATGGCGGCAGGCAAGAGAGAGCACATGTGCAGGGGAACTCCCATTTATAAAACCATCAGCTCTTGTGAGACTTATTCATTATCATAAGAACAGCACAAGAAAGACCTCCTCCTGTGATTAAATTACTTCCAACCAGGTCCCTTCCACAACATGAGGGGATTATGGGAACTACAATTTGAAATTAGGGTGGGGACAGAGCCAAACCATATCATATAGAAATCTATAAAATTAAAAAAATAGTAAAATTTAAGAAACTTACATTATACCAGAAAAAAATTTCACATACCAAGAAAAAAATTCACATACCCTGAAAAAAATTTCATGTACTCAGACCAAGGAACGAATTGTCAGGTTGAAGAGATATGCCAAAAATAAATCCCTGGTACAGGGAACCCATAGGGGCATCCTCTTTGAGACTGAATTTGCTTGGATATTCATACAGGAAAGCCTTTATAAGCCCTACGTCCTTAGAGACTTTGTGTATAGGGTTTACAATCACATGTCTTGAAGTTAGAGAGAACTGGGTTCAAATTTGGCTCTGCCACTAAATAGCTGTGTGACCTTAGGAGAAGTTACTTAACACATTTTTCTAGGCCTTGGTATTTCATCTATGAAGTGGAGAGTAATTAGTACTCCATAAATAGTATCTATTTTTATTATTATTGAGAAATTAGAAGAAAGAAACCCTTCCTGCATCAGCCTTTTCCTAGAGCCTGAGCAGTGCTTACTGGATATTAGGCACTTCATGGCCAGCAAGCTCCTGTTGCCGGTCTCCCTGCTGTTTGCTCAGCAATGTTCTAAATCACTCCGACTCACTGTGAAGGGCTGTGCCACCTTAGGGATCCTGTGGTCTTCACGGTTTCTGTTTCACGGCCTTCTACAAGGGCCTTGCTGAAAGCATTTCCCACACTCCATCGCCCATGCAACCGTTAATCTCACAACACTTGACATCCCACTAAATTAACACTATGCAGAATATATTGTGCAAAACTGCTCTACGTTATAATTAATGGGAGAGGACAGTTTTTAATAGGAGTCTTCCAACTGGGAATTTTGATGTTTGTTCTTGTTAAAGAGGTCGGCACAGAGCAGCGAAGTCCGACGCCTGGGGGTGTATCTTGCCCTTGTCTGTAGCAGCCGTGTTAACTTGGGTCAATGTCTTGAAACTTTCTCAGCCTCAATTTCGTCCCTAAAAAATGGGACCTCATAGGTGGTTGTGAGGATTAAGTAAACTATATAATACACAGCTTAGTGCCCGGAATATATAAGTGCTCAGGAAAGATTAGTGAACTATTATTACAAAGACAGGTTACCGTTGTATATTGAGGGTGACATGTCCTGGCCCCCACCTCACATCACCACACACATGTGTGAAAGTTGTCAGAATCAAAATGAAGTCACTAATGTTAAAAAAAAAAAAAAAAGAAAGCCCTGAGAAATGGAGCTGGGGAAGGCCATGAATAAATGCCTGATCAAAAGAACTATCACAGAGACTCTGCAAAAAGCACAACATTGCCCAAACACCATTGCAACCTTACACAAAAAAACGGTTCTACAAGAACAACTGCCCTGAATTTGCCTGTCCAAACTTGGACTGGTGTCACCCTTGTTATTGATCTTTGTAGCCAAGGATAATTATTTTAAAACAATTATGTAATCCTCCTCCTTTTTTCCTTTAAAAACTTTTGTCTTCACCTCCCTGAATATGCATGTAGTTAACTATGGCATGCATATTCCCATTGCAATGCTTTATTTCCAGATAAATATCTTATATTTCAGAGATCCTCTTTCTGTTAATTATGTTGACACATATAATCCACCATGGCACTGTTACGGAGTCCATTGCTTCTCACCAAGTTGTAAGGAAAAGACTTAACTATAGCTTTTCAACTATGTGCAGTGCAATTTTCCTCCTGGTCCTCTTACCCCCAAAACTTTTGTAACTGTGTGTGTAGGTGGGGTAGTTGTCAAAATGATTGGGATACCAATGAAATTTAGTGGGCACGGGCAAGGACAGCAGCATGTCCTGCAATGTGTGGGGCTGTCTTATGCAATTAAGAATTCTCCTGGGCGGGGCGCGGTGGCTCTCGCCTGTAATCCCAGCACTTTGGTAGGTCGAGGCTGGCGGATCACGAGGCCAGGAGACTGAGACCATTCTGGCCAACACGGTGAAACCCCGTCTCTACTAAAAATACAAAAATTAGCCAGGCGTGGTGGTAGGTGCCTGTAGTCCTAGCTACTCGGGAGGCTGAGGCAGGAGAATCACTTGAACCTGGGAGGCGGAGGTTGTACTGAGCCGAGATCCGCCACTGCATTCCAGCCTGGCCGCAGAGAGAGACTCCATCTCAAAAATAAATAAATACATAAAAATAAAAAAAGAATTCTCCTGCTCCACATGCCAAAACTATCCTTCTTGGAAAACATAGGATTGAACAGCTACTTAATCCATGCTCATTGCTGCCTGACTTACTGAAGTGTGAAGATGAACAAAATACAATCACTTCCCATGAGAAGATTTCCATCTAGCAGTGGTTGTGGGAGGAGACGCATCAACAGTGTGAGTACAATACAGTGAATGTTATGGCGGTTTATTTAGCAGCTATGTGATGAGAACCCCATCTCACTACCTAAATGTGCTGAGTTAGCTTTCAGCAAACATCTATTGAGCACTGACTGCACCCTGGGCACGATGCTGGGTGCTGACAACTCTTGCTCTGAAGGAGCTCCGGACCTGGAGGAGGATTCAGGTAAACAGATTATTAGAATGCAGAGGGGTAAGTGCAGGATCAGGTAGACACAGGGCCCCCTGGAACACAGGGGTGGTGGAAGACTTGCTGTGGGAAAAGACATCTAAGCTGGGACCTGGAGGGCCAGAGGTGGGTAGCCAAGTACAGGTAGGTGGCGGAGATGAAGACTAGCTTTCTAGCTGAAGGCACAGTGTATTGGCAGTGAGAGGGTCTGAAGTCTGAGGCATCATGCCGCCTGGACAAACTTCACGTGCTTCTTTTTAAGAATCAGTCATTCACTTGAGACCCCCGAGGCTCCCACCACATTTCAGCTGGGTGTTGGGGATCCCGTGAGCAAGGCACAGGTGACCCCTGCCCTCAGTAGTTCAGAGTCTGATGGGGCAGATGGACACTCCTAGGACAGGCTTCTGTAAATGTGTCTAACAGAGGACAGGGGAGGGAGGAGGAGTCAGGAAGGGCAGGCAGGGCGGGCCGCCTGGAGAAAACACACTGAGCAGTTCAGTTTGCCACAGAGAGAGGTTCTGCTAGAGAATGTGGGGGGTCATTACCTGAGAACAGGCTCTGGCGGGGGTGAGAAGAGGTGGACCTGGGACTTGGAGGGAGGGTGGGAGGCAGGCTAGAGATGGAGGCTGGGGCATTCAAATGAATCACAGTGGGGCAGGCAGGATGATGTGCAAGAGAAGACACGCATACCAGGCGCTTGAAATTCAAGACTGAGGAGCACAGAACCTGGCCTAGGGAGGGAAGGGTCTGGGCAGCAGAGACCCCAGCACCTGAGTGACAGGTGCAGCGTGTCACCGGCAAGAACCTCAGCTTCCACCTGTCAGCCTCTCTCCAGTTACTCCATCCCGAAGCCAGAACTGGAGTCAGAGAGCATGTAGAGCTGAGACTCTCACATCATTTCTGTGACCACTTTCCTGGGAGCCTGTTAAAATGCTGGTCCCCAGGCCTAGTCCCAGAATTTAGCTCAGGGGTTCTGGAGAAGCAGCATTTTTCGCAGGTCCCCAGGTGATACTTATGCGCACAAGGGTGTGAGATGCTTGGGGTGAAAGCTGAGGCAGGGTAGTGTACCTGATGGGGCACGAAGCTGAGTGGTCCCCGCCTGGGTGAGACATGATGCGTTTATCAGCTGCCCTGGAGACAGCCATTCCAAGGCAGATCATGAAGGGAGATTCAGCAATCTAGAGATTTCAGATAAACAATCCAAAAATATGCCTCAGAGACTACTTTGGCTGTATTTTAGAGACATCATTAAAAGCTTTATGGATTTATGTCAGTTTTGCAGGAAGGGATATACCATGTTCAAAAGTGTTATTCTGAAACCACATCATAAACCAACTGTTAAAGCAAAGCCTGGGAGTGATGTAAGCCCTCTAAGGCTCCAAGTGGCAGATTTACAGCTGCCATTTCATTGTTTCACATCTCTTTAAGAAAATGCCAAATCAGGGTACTGCAATATCTAAAAGATATTCTAAAAGAAAGCAATTCTCTCATCTCTTCTGAATGAATAACTGAAAATAACTCTAAATTAACAAGCCCAAAATAGCATCATTTCCCTCGTAAAATTATCAAAAAGTATTGATTTAGAATGCTTGGTTTAAGGTTTTGTACTAGTAATATAGATACTAGTAATAGACAATACTAACAGATATAGACAATATAATACTACTATAGATAATGCTAATAGTCTAAGTTTTATAATCATTTTTGATAGAAAAATAATAAATTCTGTATTTAGATATTCTATGATATAAAAAGGATTTGCTTAATTATATCATGTTTCTCAAAGTTTTGAAATACATTATGCCATCTGTGGACTCAGGGTCACAAAGTTGACAGTTAACCTTCAAGTAGACAAATAACCTTGTCTTAACTATTTCTTGGTCCTCATCACAGGTTATATGTAAATTATCCCTGATTGAGGAAAAGAAGTTTGCAGATGTTTGACATAAAATCCACCAATTATTCATTCCAGAATAATAACATAAAGATATTTATCTCCTTGTTTAACCAAATCCCCGAGGCTTACAGTGGGAGAAAAAAAAAAACCCACAAAAAACAGAAACCAAAAGCAAACAACAGCTGGCACTCACTCCTATTATTCAATTGCTCTTCATCTTTCTCTTCTCCAAGTTAAATAATTCTATTCCTTTTGCCTTTTCACTTAGGATTTTGCAACCTATATTTTGCAACCTATATTTTTAAAATTGGCATGATTCTTTTTGTTTTCTAACTTTCCTATCAGGACTCAGAATTGAAAGCTCCCAACTTGCAAATGGGCTCTTTTCCAAAAATTTATTTTAGACTCAGTAACTTGCAACTTGGAAAACTTCCCCACAGAAACAATGTTTTAAATGATGGTGAGTTTGCCAGGAGACTTCACAAATGCTGAGCCACTCTGGTTGTGTAATAAAAGATTACTGAAGAGTGCCACTGTATATTAGTAATTAAAATAGGAAAGCAAAACCAAAACGCCTTCAGGTTTATTCTTAAGGTAAGAACCCCAGGGAACTCTGCTCCCACAGGGATTTCAACGAAGTGACCCAATGGTAAGTTGGTAGATGTTAAGCAACTGGCTTGAGGGGGAGGGAAAAATTCTGATTTATAGTTTTTGCCTATTTCCCATGATGTCAATACTGCCACCTTGTCCGACTTCAAGCTACCAACATGATGTCATTAAATAAGGAGCTGAGAAGCGAGGTCTCCCAGACTGTGCAAGCTGCCTCATGCACGTGCTCTATCCACTCCTTCAGTCAGCAAGGTAGTCGCTCAAGCAAACCACATTTATTGAGCTCCCATTGTGGTGAGCTTCTTTCTTTTTACCTTCTGCTGTAAATAAACCCTTTAATATTTGCTTACTCCTTTCTGTCGCCCAATGCGCTCTCCTACCTCTTCCCAGATATCCTGGATTCTTGAAGCTCTGTGCAGCTTCTGCTAAAGTCTAGGAGGCTCTCCTGGGAGCCAGAACCATGCTAGAGGAGGCATAGAACTGAGCTGCAGCCTCAGGTCATTAACCACTTTCATGGCTGAATTCCATTGCCCAGAATGATCACTCTCATTAACTGCTTTTTAATTAGTCACCTAGTAAAAGAGTTAAGTGAATTTTATGGAGTTCTGCTCCCGGGGACCTTGGACATCATCCTCTGCATGCATCATGATTCTGCATCAGGCAGGCCTGGTTCCTTCCAGGCAATCTGCATGGCACAACTCTGCTTAAACTTGTTTTGTTATTCTCCCAAGATACTGCAATGCTGAAACACAACCAGTTTTTCTCCTGGTCTTACATTGGCAAAATCTGCTTTTTCTCCCCAAGTGTACCACTCTGAATTTCCTTGCTGAATTTTTTATTCTGTTTGTTTGATGTTTTCTTCAACTTACTGTAATCTTTTTGGACTAACAACATTGGACCTGGGATGGGTTAACGTTCACCTCTGCTAGTTCTGTTTCCCCAGGTGGGTCCATATCTATTGTAACCAATTTCCTGCCATTCTCTCCAAAGGCCCGGTCACTTCTAGGTCAGTTTCTATGTAATAAGCTTTAAGTGTCTGAATCTGTACAATGGAGAAAAAATGCCAAAGAAAAATCTCTAAGTTTATCCTGAGTGGCACGTGTGGCCCACAAGACACAAGTGTGAAGTATATTACTGTAAACACATCAATCAGCTATGGCTTGACTGTGTGGGAGCCGGGTGGCCTTCTTGGATTGGAATTTAAGAGCAGCACCACTGAACAACTCTACTAGGGTCTTAAACAGGAAGATAGTTTGCATCTATTATAGAATTTCCTGGGTCATGCTCCTGAAACTGTGTTAATACGTATTCCTGTTGTGCATGGTGGTCAACAGGTTAGAATGTTTTGGGGACAGCAAATGAGATGAGGGCTTCACTACAGCTAACTTCATCTAAGACATATAATAAAGGATTAGTGTGGGACATGGGGAGGCCAAGAATCAAAAGTCGTGGATTGCAGCCCTGGCTTTGCCACCAACTCGCTTTTTGACCTTGGCCAGGCAAATCATTTCATTGCTGTGGGCTTTAAATCATTCTCATCTTAAAGGCCCCCCTACCCTGAACCTCTATTTTCCTCTGGCTAGCACTCAGTCTTTTTAATCCATTCTTTCAAATATGTAATAACTGCCATCTGTGAACTATGAGCTGACAGAGATTTAGCAGGTCGTAAATTACATTTAAGTTAATAATTGAAGGCCAGTGAGATTTTGCTGGTAACGGGGGTAGGGAAAGTATTCTAGGAAGAGAAAAGAGCATGTGCAAAGGCTCTGAGGAAGAAGAGAATGTCGAGGATGAACGTAGTGGAGGCCAAGATGACAAACCCTCAGGGGAGACCATAGTAGGAAGTGAGGCTAGATAGAAAGGTCGTGGTATTCTGAGGATTTTGGTTTTTACACAGAAAGCAACGGGTAACTCCTGAAAGGTTTTAAGCAAAGGTGACATAATCTGATTTCAGTTTTGAAAGCTCATTCTGGCTGCATTTTGGTGAATGCATTGGAAAGAGAAAAGAGGGAATATAGGTAGACCATTGAATAGGCTATGCAATGGGACAGAATAAATATAATGATGGTTTGGAGTAGTAGAGTGGACAGAATCTGATGATGTTTAGGAATTAAAAAGGTGAAGGAAAGAGTGTTAAGACAGACTCGGATTTTTGGATAGATGGTGGTGACAATTTCTGATTATGGGAACACAGAGGCAGGCAATCTTGGTGGGGTTGGGGATATGGCAGGTATCAAGAGTTCAGCTTTGGCTGGGTGCTGTGGCTCACACGGTAATCCCAGCACTTTGGAAGGCCAAGGCAGGAGGGTCGCTTGAGCCCTGGAGTTTAAGACTGGCCTGGACAACATAGGGGGACCCTGTCGCTAAAAAAAAAAAAAAAAAAGGAAGAAAAGAAAAAAATAGCCGGTGTGGTGGCACAAGCCTGTAGTCCCAGCTACTGAGGCGGGAGGATCATTTGAGTGCAGGAGGTCGGGGCTGCAAGGACCCATCATGGCACCATTGCACTCCAGCTGGGGCAACAGAGTGAGATGCTGTTTCAACAACAACAAAGTTCAGCTTTGAACAGGTCAAGTTTGAGGTGCCTTTGTGTCAGGGAAGCATAGAAGTCAAAGAGCCAAAAAAGTCTGGGCTGAAATATTCATTTTAAAATCATTTTTATGATGGTATTTACAATGCAAGCATGGATAGAATTCCCTGGGAGAAGTGTGTGAAGAGAGAAGACAGGAGGGCCCTGAGAAGTCACCCTTTTCAAACTGGGACAGGGAAATGAGCTTGCAAAGGAAGAACAGAGAGGAAGTAATTAGGGCACCCCGGGGACCCCTTGAACACGAGGTCTGAATGAGGCCAAGGAAAAAGGGTTTTTCAAGAAAGAGGAGCTGACCAATAGGTTAGAATGCTGTTCAGAGGTCCAGTTAGATTTTCCCAATCTAACTGGGGAAATTCTAGAAACCTTCTCATCTCCTCATTTTCACTTCCTAATCATTGATTTTGGCCTGAACTCCATTCACTGAAGTGAAGTTGCTGTCACTGAGGTGTTCATGAACTTCGTAGTTACCAAAGTGAACAGACCACTTCTGCCCTTATTTGATTTACTCAACTCTTGGAGCCTTTGGAAACTCTCTTTGGTTTTCCTTTCCCCTCTTTCAGCTTCTCTGTAAGGCATTGGCTCTTTTTCCTCCGTGTATCCTGAAAATGTTGGGGCACTGAGGTTTTCCCTCCAGTGCTCCTCTTCCATCACACTCTATACTCACTCATCAGGAGAGCCTCATCTCCATCACTCCCAACCTGCAACTTTCTGTAGGGAAACTCCGCCTTGTTCTTTCATGGGAAACCCAAACTCAAGCTTCACACAATGGAATTCATCCTTTCCCACAAATCTGATCCTCTCCCCGAATTTTCTAGTTTGACCAATGACACTGCATCTGCATGGTCACTCAAAGGCAGAAAGCCTAGAGACACCCTAAGCTCTCTGTTTGCATTGCCTCGTAACCTTTTGCATCTGTTCTCTCTTGGGCACAGCTCTGTCATGCCTCTGGTTCAGGCACTTGGGTTTCACTTTGGCACCTGTGATGACCTCTTTTTTTTTTTTTTTTGACACGGAGTCTCGCTCTGTCGCCCAGGCTGGAGCGCAGTGGCGTAATCTTGGCTCACTGCAAGCTCCGCCTCCCGGGTTCACGCCATTCTCCTGCCTCAGCCTCTCTGAGTAGCTGGGACTACAGGCCCCCGCCACCACACCCGGCTAATTTTTTTTTGTATTTTTAGTAGAGACGGGGTTTCACCGTGGTCTCGATCTCCTGACCTCGTGATCCGCCCGCCTCGGCCTCCCAAAGTGCTGGGATTACAAGCGTGAGCCACCACGCTGTGATGACTTCTTAAAGGGTGTCCTCCAATGGGCATCTTACCTCCTATAATCTGTCCTTCACAGACTTTCAGTGACCCGCCTTACATCCTAGTCTAACCATGTCCTTCTTAAACCTAAAATATATCCCTCTTCTTAGAATGTGGCATATCATTTTGGGGGAAGTGTCACTGAATACATTTCAGAAAACCTGTAAATCTTCTGACATTTTCGGGAAAGTATGTGCAAATACATTCTTCTGGGAAGAAAGTTAGTTTCAATCCGGTCCCATGACTCCCCTGCCAAATGTAAAGAAAAAGAGCAAAAAAGAATTCACTCATTATTTCTCTAAAATGCTTGACTGAGAGGCATCTGTGTGCCAGCGCAGTGCGAGGTGCTCACTCTGCTTCCAGAGTGACTAACGCTCTTGGTCCCCTTCATCGTCTGGACTGGCTCCCTTCTTGGCCTCAGCGGCCATTCTCCTTCGCGTACTCCACGTGGCTCCAGCCAGCCTAAGAGGCGGGCTGTTCCCATTTCCCTCTCCTGCCCGACTACTTAGCTATTTATTCACTCTTCGATTCTGCGTGAGCTCCATCTCCTTCCGCAAGTGCCGCCTGCACTGTAAGAGTGCACATCCTCAAGTGTCCCATAGCTCCTTGTTATAACTTTATTCCAACAAGTATAACCTTGTTTGCATTTAATTTAGTAAACATTTCTTAGACTCCTACTATATGTGAGGCTCATGCTGATGACAAAAGCAAACATGATATATACTTTTCCCAAACGGAGTTTGCGGTGGGTTGGGAGACAGAGCAAACACAGCATTACAACAGTGTGGGAAACCTGTAGAAGGAGAGTGTGTAGAAATAAATAGCAGGAGGCGGGAAGGATGGGATCTACCTGTGGGTGGGGCGTGGGATGCCTGGATGGTTTCACTAAGGAAGGCGACATCTGAGTTGGATCCTGACAAAATAATAGGAATCTACAGTACTGAAGAGGTGGACAAGGACCCTCCAAGTACTGGAAACAGCAGGCACCAAGGCATGAGGAATGCAGCAGCATGGTGTTTGGGAAACAGGCCTCCAGGCTTCCCAACCTAGGCTATGTTTTTGGAAAAAACCATGGCTGGAGCAAACTCCCAGGAGTCCTGATCTGATTGTCTGGGGAGAGGCCTGCCTATTGGCATATTTCAGCATTTTCTCAGATTAGTCTAATGTGCAGTCAGCGTCAGGAACGACAGCGGGAGGATGTTGGACATAACTTGGTATTAAATGTGGGGTGATGTACGGCTGCAGGTGCTGCTGAAGAAAGGCAGGATTGAGGCCAGGAAGGTCTTGAATCCCTTATTTTAAAATTTTTTACAAGACCAATATACCTTGAAATAATTTTGAAAAGTTGTAAAAATAGTATGAATAACTCCTATATCATCCATATCTGGATTCCCTAACTTTTAACATTTCACTATATTTGTTTTCTCTCTCATATTAAATATGTTATATTTAGATATAATACAAATGGTAGTCAAAATTTAAATATAAATATTAAAAATTTAAATATATTTATATTTAACATTATATTATATATAATTAAAATAATTTTTAATGTTACATATCTAGTATATTAAATATATTATAATATATATTATATGTAATTCCTGAACCATGTGAGAGCAAGTTGGAGTCAGGAAACCAACATTAATACAACACCATAGTCCCATTTCTATAAAAAAATATATATATGAACATGAATATTTGTATACACACAAGTAATTTTGGGAAACTACTTTGAGGGTATATATGAATATTTATACATGTGTGTGTATATGCCTATATGCATATATATATTTTTTTCATGTAGAAAGTCTTTTGCAAATAAGCGTGCCTTACCAGGAAGAGAAGGGAAGGAACAGAACAGGGATAAGGAGGTTAAAGGTGAATGCCTTATTCATGCACCAGGCTTCTCTCTAGACTGTGAGTTTCTGAAAGGAAGAACTGTGTCTAATCCCAGCTAGCCCCTGGCCTCCAGCAGATATTCAATAAATGTTCATTGAGTTGAGCCGAATGGAATTAAATGATTTTTTAATTGCAATAGTATATTCTTCAACTAGTTGGATCACATTGGCCTTTCCTTTAGTGAAAAATTTCAGGGTTCTTTTGTGTGCGTATGAAGTGGGCTTCTTGAAAGAAATGTCATTCAGTTGACTGAGACCTCATCATTAATTAAAACAGCAGTTTATTAATGAAAATGTTATAAGATGCATTTAGAATAATATATCCAAAAGAATGAAAGGACTTACAGCTTAACGAATGCTCTTAATTTCTACTGCTTTTTTTCTCCTTTATACTGGTTTAGTAAACTGCAACATAGTTGTGCAGAGGTTGGTCAATTACTCAAGCAGCTTTCACAAATCAGCTTGTCTCCAATCCAGTGACTCTGCCTCAGTTTGCTTCTGTGCTGCTAACTTCACAGTTTGCTGCGAGGAGACTGCTTTTAGAAATTATATTGTTTCTTTAACTACATATTTGTAGACTTACTGAATTACATGATTTGTGCCTGTTGCACACACCAGGGTGTTTCCACCCTTTCTGTTGATAGGCAGCAAGTTGCTTCATCTGAGCTCTGTACTTAGACTGCATATTCCTTATTTTCTCACGTGCTCAGCTGATCTGCCTGAGCCATGTAGAATTCTTGACCCTAGTGGTTCTTGAGGACAAACACCATTTTAATTCGCGGTTTTAGTCTCAGTCTAGTGAAAAGAGGCACTTGTGAGTTTGTTGATTCAGCGAGGACTCTTGTGGATGGGAGCCAGGTACATATTTACACACCATGAAGACATGAGCTCCTACTGAGTTCCAATAGGTGCCAATGGGCACTTTTTATCTCATTTAACCTAATTACTCAACAGCAACGCTTTGAGCAGATGTCATCATCCCTATTTTACAGATGAGGTAACTGAGGCTTACAGGAGTAGTTTACTCAAGGACACCCAGCTAATCACAGAGTCAAGAGTCAAATGCAAATCTGCTGAACTTCAGAGCCCACACTCCTCCCTCTGTCTAGGCGACGATTGTGCAAACTCTAGCTGTTTTCACAGAAACCCACAAAGCGATTTGCTTATTAGCTCCTGCTTTGGGAATTAAAAACGAAATGAGATACCAGGAACCACTGATTATTACTCACAAACATAAAAACACAATGGAATCTTTGAATTAATAAAATTTTATTTTTCTCTACCAGTAAAGATCTTAATAGAAAAGAAAAACCAAAAATCTACAAAAGCCCTATTACTTTTGATAAACTTTTGTTAACAATAGAATGATTTATATTTTAATTTTAAAAAGCCACATTTCAAAGTCGAAGTTGATGACATTCCCATATGTGTTCTGAAATTCAAAGTCATTCCCATTTGCTGATTATTGTAAAAGCAGTACATATCTTTTGTAATATTTGCCCTGACCAAGGAAGGTAAATGAACTATAGATTATAACTTTGGTTTTCCTCGTTATCTCTGCAACTACTTTATTTCATATATTAATTAAGCCTTGAAATTTGTCTAAATATTCCAACTCATCACTGAAATGTTCTTCAATCAACACAAACCGTCCTCAAGCCTTCTGCCTTCTTTAGAGAACATGCCACATCGTATCGGCAGTCTTAAAGCAGATAGACTATCACAGCTGAGTCTCACTCATCAAATGGAAGTAACAGGATTCAAAGAAATTCTCTAGAGTTGCTTCCTTGAATGGGGCGCAAATACAGGAAGCATTAGAAGCTAATGGGATTCTACTTCAAGCAACTCAAGAGCTTGGTTATTTCCTACTAAAGTTATCTGAGGCCTCACAGGGTTTCTGGACTCTTAGCAGGTAGTTCTTTACTATGCCTCTTCAAAAAAGATGTTTACTGAATGCTGTTTATGATGGTATACCGAGTCCAAGAGGTGGTCAGGCCCAGGAGCACTGGGCTTCTCCACTAACCCTGCATATTCTGGCCCTGGGCTTCTTTCTAGTTTGGCAATGACCCCTCTGGCTTGTTTTGCACTTGTTTCTATGAAAACCAGACTTAGAAATTCTTTTTTCCTTTTCTTTTCTTTCTTTTTCTTTTTTTTGAGATGTACTCTCGCTGGGCCACCCAGGCTGGAGTACACGACCTTGGCTCACTGCAACCTCTGCCTACCGGGTTCAAGCGATTCTTGTGCTTCAGCCTCCTGAGAAGCTGGGATTACAGGCTCAGGCCAACACCTCCAGCTAATTTTTGTATTTTTAGTAGAGACAGAATTTCACCTTGTTGGCCAGGCTGGTCTGGAACTCCTGACCTCAGGTGATCCACCCACCTCAGCCTCCCTAAGTGCTGGGATTACAGATGTGAGCCACCTTGCCTGGCCCACATTCATTTCTCGATGAAATACATTCAAAATATAATACTTCCAAAGAGTTTGTCATACTAAACTGGAATTGGTAGTTTACATGTGCAGATGCTGGAGAACATAGTTTCCTTGAGGGAAACACGTTTTATTTGACTTTTTATTTCTGGAGTACAACCCAACTCCTAGCACATAGTAGGTATGCAATGTACACTGTTTGAATTAATGAACATGAATTAATGGTATCACAGACCAATTTGGCCATATACATATTTTTTTCATTTTATTCCCCCACCTCTCCTCCCCAAAAGAAAATCCAAGACATCTTAGTGATGTATTTCTACCATTAGCTATAATTTTTCAATAGTGGTTTCTTTGAAGAAGATAAAATATAATTAAAAAGCAAAGATTCACCTCAAGGAAACCAAGAAGTAATTGGCTAACTGCAGGTTTTGGAAAATACAACTGAAGGATTATGATTTATCGAGAGATCCTGAAAATGAGGTTGTCATCAAAGTTATTATACTTTATCTGTCTTTTGGCAGAAGAAGGAGGAAAAAAGAAAAAATGAGAAGAGAAAGGAAAAAGAAGAAAAAGAATGGATTTAGGCCACGCGTTTGTTGTATGACTACACAGAGCCTTGAATGAATGATTGGACTGTATCCCCAGCACAGTGAGAGCCTCTGGTCATCTTCATGCACACACGATGTGTGTAATTTATCTGGGGAAATGAACATCGTGGGGGCATTTGCCAGATCCCCCTTTGTCTTCTACTTCAGTGGAAACAATATTTTCAAGTGAGGAGACAGCTTCAATTACAAAGCTGACAACTAAAATTTTACTTTAATATTTTTTCCCTGTATCAGCAGCTTTTTCCCCTTTGTAGATGCTTCAAGCACACCCCTCTTTTTGCACCACGTCTGTGGCAAAAGAATGGATTTATTCATTGTTGTGTGAAATAAATTCAGGCTTCTATGAAATAAATTAAAAATACTTGCAAAAGGCTTTCTATATGGATGGATGGCTTTCTCTGTCTCCGTACACATAAAATCAACCTCAAATGAGTTTCTGGAAAATGCGTGTGTGTGATTTTCAGAAAGTATGGATGTACACATGTATGTATGTATTTTTTCCCCAGAAATTATGTATATGTTTGTATATACACACACATACTACTATCTGAAACACTCCCAAATGGTTTTCCAGAAAGCATCTGTTGCTTAGTGATGTGCGTGCCAAGCCTGATTTGCTCACAGGTTTGCTCTCTGACCTGTCCTTTGTCACAAGGGGAACTGTAAAAACACCTTCCAGTGGCAGGAGAGAGGCCATTGAAGGGAGGGGCCGTGCCACATATGAAATACCGCAACTCCTTGAAATAAAGGATTCTGCAAAAGGCTCTATGCTATTTTCAGCACCCAGGCCAATCCTACAAAGAAACAGCCTAAAAGGCACAGGCTTCTCAAGGGCCCCTGCTTCAGGAAGTGAGATTGACTCTCTTCCCAACTCATTCATTTGCCTCATCTGCTTGTAATACTGTCCTTCACTAACAACAACCGTGTGCGTCAATTTGTTTACTATAATATCTCCCTGTGTATTGCCATTTCTTTTGTTCCATAGTGTGTGAAAGTTTTAAAGTAATCACTTCTTTCTAATGTCTTATTTTTTTTAATAGTTCAAGGTGTAATGAAATGCCTGCAAATGTTTCCCTGTTCTAATGGTGCCTTTGAGTTTGGAAATAATAGTGACCATGGATGGTGATTTAAAATGCACGCTGCCTGCCCATCCCTGATTTTATTCTAATTGGAGACCCAAAGGACGGGGCACAAAGTTTAGTTGCATACAAAACTGGCTTCAGCTTCACTGGTTTGTCTCCTGAGAATTAGGGAAACCAACTATTTGAGTCTTCCCATGTCTATAAAAAAGGGAAACTTTTGAAGACAAACTGGTTTAATAAATTCAGTCACGTTTTTTTACAAAGTAAATGTTTGTGCTTGGCAATGGGAAGAAATAGGATAAAATGGTGTAAAAACTAAATTATAAATTTCAAGGCTAATGAGCTGAGCAATATTAGAAAAATGGTGATGAGGTCACAGGTGAAAAGACTTAGGTTCAAACATAAAGAGCAAGCTAAAGCGAACTCTCACAAATAAAACAATTTGATTAGAGTAGCAAGAGCTTCAAGCCTTTTATTCACCTCTTCTTTCTCTTGCCTTCCTAGCAAAGATCTGCATGTCTTTCCCTTTTAGTCATGATATTTAGCGAAGGCACGTGGCAACCACAATTCTGACCACCAAACACACCCTTTCCAAATGACATTTTGCTTCTGTAATTATTTTTATTCTGAGATTTGAATATAAATCTGACATGCTGAGAGTTTGTTTCTAATCAAATGACAGAAGTATAAAGAAAACTCAAGATTCATTAGGGAGATGATGAATTTCTGCACCTCTGTTGGTGCAAGGACTTGAGGCATTGCTTCTTATGTTGAATCTCATCACCTGAATCCAAGATAACTCCACATTGTCTTTAAATTTCAGCACCAATTACAAAGGCTCTACCATTTATGGAGCATTAAGGACTATGTTATTTAGTCTCACAACACCATGGGGTACATATTATTCAAATTCTACAGGCGAGGGAATGGAGATTCAGAGAAGGTAAACAACCTGCCTGCAGTCACACATCTACCAAGTTCTTACTATTAACTACTATGTTGTATTGCCTTTCAAAGCCTTCTATTTATATCTTGCCTACAAGAAAGATCTAAAAAAGCAATTTAGCATTTTTCTTTAAAAAAATTACTGCGGAGAATGGTAGCATCGTAGGTGTATTTTGAAGGTTATCATAGAGGGCTATGATTCCTATGTAAGAGGAGTCTTTGAAAAGCTCTACATCAGTCCTGTCCAGTAGAAATATAATGTGAAAGCCAGGCCTGGTGGTGCATGCCTGTAATCCCTGCTACTCAGGAGGCTAGGAAGGGAGGATTGCTTGAGCCCAGGAGTTCGAAGCTCCAGTGAGCCATGATTGTGCCACTGCACTCTAGCCTGGGAGACAGAGGTCTTTAAAAAAAAAAAAAGAGAGAGAAAGAAAGAAAAGAAGTGTAATGGGACCCACATTTGTAATTTTAATTCTTTTGTAGCCACATTTAAAAAGTAAAAAAGTGAAATGAATTTTAATAATATGTTGTATTTAATTTAGTATATCTAATATTTTATCAACATGTAATCTATGTAAAAATTATTGAGACATTTTACATTGTGATGGTTAATTTCGTGTGTCAATGTGGCTGGCCTGAGAGATGCCCACATGGCTGATAAAACATGATTTCTGAGTGTGTCTATGAGGGCATTCCTGGAGGAGATTAGCATCTCAGTCAGTCGACTGAATAGAGAGGATCATAATTGTCAGTGGGCATCACCCAATCCATTGAGCACCTGGAAAGAATAAAAAGGCAGAAGAAGGGGAATTCACCCTCTCTTGTGCTGGGACATCCGTCTTCTTCTGCCCTCAGATGTTGGTGCTTCTAGCTCTCCAGCCTTTGGACTCCAGGACTCACACCAGTTGTCCCCCTGGTTCTGAAGCCTTTGGGCTCAGACTGAATTATACCAGTGGCTTTCCTGGTTCTCCAGCTTGCAGATGGGATATGATGGGACTTCTTGGCCTCTATAATAACATGAGCCAATTTCCATTAAGAAACCCCCTCTTATGTATCTCTCTCTATCCTACTGGTTCAATTTCTTTGGAGAACCTTGACTAACACATAAACCTATTGTTTCATGCTAAGTCTTTAAAATCTACTGAGTGTTTTATGCTTATAGCACAATCTCAATTTGAACTAGCCCCGTTTCAAGTGCCCAACCTCCACATGTAGCTTGTGGTTACTGTATAGACAGTACAGCTATATAGAGTCCAAGAAAGGAAAACTAAAAGCATTTGTCAATGTCAGTTGATTTTTCCAGCCTTTGGAGACGTGTTTTCGACATGGGCATTGGAATCATTTTAACAACAGGATGTCTACAGTCTATCTCAAACCACTAAATTTGAGTTTCTGGGTATTACCTCTGGATACACCTAAGCAAAGAAGGACTTGAAACCTCACATTCCCAGTTCAGCCCTCTTAGAATAAAACAATATAAGCCTGCTTGAAATGTGCCTTCTACATATCTCTATCAGGAATCTGGGGAGATAATACGTGGACCATTCTGGGATTTAGGATTCTAGTCACTTCTTGTTATTAGACATTTGAGTAGCAGCTTGGAAAATCATTTCCTGTTTTCAGTTTTTCTGCATTTTTAGGTTTATTTTAAGGATGCAATGGCAAAAGGAATTAATTTAGCCAGAGTGATCATTTTATAATATATGTCATATCATGTTACTCCTTTGCTCAAAACCCTCTATGAACTCCACCTCCCTCTGGGCAAAAGCCAAGCCCTTACCATGGCCTGCCATGCCCTCCCTAATCTGCACCTCTTCTCCCCATTCCACACCCCATTGTTTCTCTCACCCTATTTTCTTCTCTTCTTTGCTCATTCTACTCCATCCCCAATGACCTCCCTATGTTCTCTGAGCACCCACATGAGACTAATTTCTAGATGGGGCCCAGGTATCAATATTTTTCAAAAGTTGTATCCACCAGGGTGAGAAGGAGTTTTCTACGGCAATGCGTGGATTCCATCCTCCTAAATATGTTTTCTCTCAGTTGAGCTTCGCAGCTATGAATTCAAGGTCATGTTTTTGAACTAGCACCTTGAATACAAATATCCTATGAAGCTTTAACCAACTGCTAAGACAAGGACATATCTGAAAGGGCGACCACTTCTGAAAGGGCACATCTGAAAAGATGGCCCAGGGAGTATCTAGAAGAACACAGTGTCCTCCAAAGCTTATGATGGTGGCTACCACTTGCTGGGACACATACGGTCACAATCCTCATAGCTGTAGAGCAGGGATGTAGTTATTTCAGCATGGGAGATTTTACAGGAGCTGTGGAAGACATTTACATAGCTTAACCATTAGGAAAAATCCCCATGAAGCCCCCACAGAAGGAGTCCCTTAAAAGCACTCAAGGCAGTTAAGAATCTACATTAGATACTCGATGAGTTAAAGATTGCACAGGTCACATGGTCACAATCGCCATCAACCTTTATGAAACTTCTCACACATTTCTTACTTCTTGGATCATGCCCCTTTGCCAAACCTATCACCTCAAAGACAAATTGCTATGAATTGCCCATCCCTAACCTGAAGCTTCAAAAGAGAAAGAACAGGGGCTGTGATCTGCTGCCATGGGGGGTGGTGGCTCTGGGTAGCAGGCAGCCTCCTTGCTCGCTACAGGCTTGGGTCAGTCCCTTTGGAACCAGCCACCCTCAGGCTTCTCAGCCTGCCTGACATCGTTCCCTTCACATGGAAGTTGGGAGTCTCACTTTCCAGTTCCGCCATGTTGAGATTCGCGCAGGGAAAAGATACATGGATTAAGGCTCCAGTGGCTCCAGATGGAAATAACCTTTTAGCCTTTTTAGAGCTTCAAGGAAACTCAAAGGATGACCACACAAATGGAACTTGAAGAACTAATCTGTATGGTGTAGGATGAGGGGAACCTTTGACACATGACTGATAGGAAGCCTAGTTTTCAATGAGCTTTGAAGGTGAGATGTTTAAGCTGCTTTGTTGAGCTCCTCCTCTTTCCATTAAATTTGGTTTCAAGAGGCAGCTGGCTTTAGCAACACGATGATGATCGGCTGATAGAATTCTAGGAGCTGTCAGAGGGCTCAAGCCTGTCAAGATTGCTGAAATGCTTTCTTTTAATTCAATTTAATTTTTCTTTGTGTATGTGTGGGTCATTGGTATAATCAGAAAAATAAATCTTTGCCCTGAATGGACATGTTCTGTCATTGGTGGTAGCTTACACTGAACTCCAATGCCTTATTTCATACATTGACTCTGTTGTATTGCTCTGAAAATGTTAAAAAGAACGGGTAAACACTTGAGCTTTCGTTTCCGGGATTTAAAGGCATTATTCTAGGGAGAATTTTTCTTCTTGGGTGACCTTTATTTTGGGGTACTGCTGCAGGCTTTCTAAAAGACTATTTTGTTTTTAATATATAGTTTCAGGATTACACAATATATCAAGGGTCTTGCTTTGCATTTTTTCACGGAATCATCTATATGTGGATAAATAATCTAACAAGTAGGGAATAATTCTAGGAAAACTGGGTTCTAATCAAGAAATTTCTGATAAATTTCAAAATAAAAGATCTAAATTATGTAAAAACATATTTTTCGTCAGGGACACACATTTCTAGTGCTAGTACTGATGAATGCTATTTGAAGTAAATTTATAGTAGGTTGTTGATGTAAAGGAATGATTTTTTTCCCTTTGTGTGTATTTTATGATGTACATTAATTCTGTAATATATTTACAAAATGTATAACTGAATATATAAAGGTATATAAACTGGCACTCGTGTTTAACATTGTTTTTTTTCCTTTTAGAAATTTGCAGCCTAAGAGTCAGGGAAGCACTGCCTAGCAAGTGAAAGCACTTACTTCTAGGGGCTGCTCCCTGAATCCCTCCCTTGAGCCTGGACCCTGGTGCAAGCAGTTAGACTTTCCTGGAAGGATCTCAATGTGCCTCTTTGAATATTGCCAGCTCTCACATTTTCAGTGGCTGTCCACTGCCCTGCTGCCCAAAAGAGGCTCATCTTCTCCCTGGAACAGTTACAAGTCAGTGGTTAAGGGCACAGGTGTTAGAGCAAAATTGTCTATGTTCAAATCCTTGCTCTGCCAAAGAGATGGGTCACTTTGAGCAAGCTACTTAATTTATCAATGCCTCAGTTTTCATGTTAGTAAAATGGGTCTATTAAAACTATCTCCCTTATTGGATTCTTGTGTGAATAAATGAGTTAATTAATACACTTAGAAAGTGCCGGGAGCTGTTATCATTGCTGGACCCCTCTGGTCCCAGCTGTAAGCCTGCCAGTTACTATTCTGTGCCTACCAGCTTCCTCTACTGTGTGCTGCAAACTCCTCTGCTCACTCCCTGCCCCATTCTAGTGATCAGACGAGTTCCTGGACCCAGATCCCCCCAGTTCCTCCGAATCCTGCTGCAGCGAACTCTTCTATCCCTGACTACACAAGGAACTAGAAAAGTCTAATAGATGATTGATTTATTTCACTTGGGATTAAAAGACAAGCTATTCAAACTGCATTTTCATGGCATAGTTTCCCATGCTGAGTCTTGACAGTCAAAAAAATTTTTCAGGGAATTTCTTTTTTGATTGTTCCTTGGGATCAGTAATCAATTGATCCTGAAATTGCTCAACTCTGGGGAAAATTAATCTGACGTGTGTGCAAATGGGATATTCTCCTAGAAACTCTTTAAAAATGCTGTTTGTGTTTTTGCTTTCAATTAGTGTTTGCGAATAGCAACCCGGTACAATGATCAAAACCAAACTGATTAGATTTGACAGGTCAAATGTTGACTTGGATATTCTTTTTGTAGGCATTTATAAATTCCCACTAACATTTTGCAGGTCAGTAGAATGCATTTGTAAGGATGCGTGCTCTGAATGTCTGAGCAGACCCATTTTTTTTCTTTCCACGGTCTTTATTGTGGTTCAATTGCTCAGGAAATATTAGTGATTTCTCTAAAGGGGGTTGCTTGGGACACCAAGAAAATACAGAAATAAAAATGGTCTTCAGGTGCCTGTCTCAATTTTATAAAAGAGTCTCAGTTATAGGATATATTAAATTCTGACTTGAATTATTTGACAAATATGACAGCTTTGGAGTTATCCTATCATTGTGTATTTCAAACATTTTAAAAATATTTAGAAAATACTTTTTAAAAAGCATCAAAGCATAGGTAGAAAAAGTCTTTGCGGTATTTCATTGCCCAAAGACACAAACTGAAATGAGATCAATTGTGCTTAAGTGGGATGCTTGTCTAGTTTGGAAAGCTAGCTATAGCTTAGGTTGTGAATTTAATACTACAGGGAAGGAATTTAATGCTACAGAGAAAGGTCAACTAAGACTTCTGTGAAAATAACTTTCACCAATATTTTCCTGTTTTCAAGTTGCTTTCTCATTTCCTTGTCTTTTCTTTTCCTATTTTTTTCAGAGATGGAAAACTCACATGAAAAATAAACATCTCCAGGACCAAGAAATTCAATTTAAAAGTTGGTTCTAGAAAATGCTCATTCATCAAATACTTACCAAACACCTACTTTGTAGCACAGACTGTGCTGGAGACTGACAATACATAATGAGAAGACATCAGCCCTTGCCCAGAAGGAATGTGCAATCAGACAGCGTGACTTTCATCACAGAGGGTACAAATACAAGAAAGAGAAAGGAAAGCCAAGCCTATTTCTGACACCCAGAAGAGGTAGCACTTGACCCTATTATTGTAGGGGGAGTTGTGAGAGATTTCTGACAATCATTTGGGTGTTGACTGAGTGCTGATCATATATATGCTCAGTGAGTATATGAGACATGGCTTCTGTGATGGTTAATATCATGTGTCATCTTGACTGGGCTAAGGGTGCCCAGATAACTGGTAAAACATAATTTTGGGGTGTGTCTGTGAGGGTGTTGCCATAAATTAGTATTCAATCCAGTAGGCTGAGTATAGTAGATCTGCCCTCACCAATAAGGGTGGGCACCATCCAATCCATTGAGGGGCCAGATGGAACAAAAAGGTGAAGGAAGGGTAAGTTGTCTCTTTTTTTTCTTGAGCTGGGACATCCTTCTTCTCATGCCCTGGGACTCCGCCCACCCCACTTCCTTCAGTTCTTAGGCCTCTCGTCTTGGACTGGAGGTTACACACTGGCTCCCTGTTCCCAGGCCTTCAGACTCAGACTGAATTACACCATGGGCTTTCCTGGGCCTCCAGCTCACAGATGGCATATCATAGACTGTCTTGGCCTCCATAATTGCATAAGTCACTTCCAATAATAAATTCCCTCTTATCTATATTATACTTATCCTACTGGTTCTTTTTCTCTGGGGAACCTTGACTAATATCGCTTCTGAGCTTAAGGACCTGACAAGATAATTGGGGAAAGAAAACTAAGACATATAAGACAAATATGAATAAGAAAAGATAATTTGTTACTAAATGGCAAATGCTTTTATACATAGGGTAGATCACTCAAGGCTGGAGGAGTCTTTAAAGGTACTTGAAAGAGGCCAGGAGTGTTGGGTCATGCCTGTAATCTCAACACTTTGGGGACCAAAGCAGGTGGATTGCTTGAACCCAGAACTTTGAGACCAGCCTGGGCCATATGGTGAAACCCCGTCTCTACAAAAAAAAATATGTACACACACACACACACACACACACACACTAGCCAGGCATGGTGGCATGCACCTGTAATCCCAGCTGCTTGAGAGGCTGAGGCAGGAGGATCATCTGAGCCCAGGAAGTCAAGGCTGCAGTTGGCCCTGATTGCGCCACTGCACTGCAGCCTGGGCGACAGAGCAAGACCCTGTTTCAGTTAAAAAAAAAAAAAGGCAGTGTTAAGACAAAGTCTCCAGAGATGAGGATCCTCTTGAACAAGCAGAAGGAAACGGGAAGGATTCTCCACATGGGGAGAGTGGGAGGAGTGAGAGCCAGTGCTGGGAATGAACAGCAGTGGACTAGGAACAATGGGAGGCTCCATGGAGCTGGGATGGAGAGTGTTTGTGATGAATTACAGGAAATGAGGCTGGGCCTACCTAACTGGAGCAGAAGATGAACTATGACTGATGGCCAGAGGTAAGGTCAGATAAGGAGTGTGGGCTGGACCATGGAGTGTGTGGAATACCCAAGCCAGAGAACAGCATGGCAGAAAGCACCATAGAGGAGGAGTTAGAGGCCCTGAGCTTTGGTCCAGACTCTGCCACCACCAATTACAGGAATCTTTTTAGGTCCCAGAATCCTCATCAGGGCCACATTATGACTTTCATGGGCCCCAGGCACACTTGCCCTTGTGGTCCCTTTCTTCCACAAAAAAAAATTATGAAAATGTGTATTTCATGACAATGTTGGCCTCAAGAGAAAATGTATTAATGTTAAATATTAAAATATTTTCTTTGACCCCGAAGTTCATTTGTATTCTTCTGATTTCTAAAGAAATTTTAACATATATGTGTGGGCCCCTCAAAACGTGGGTTGTGTCCACCCCACCTAATGGCTAGGTTGGCCTTGGCCCTTATCTGTGGGGAGTGGAGTGGAGATGGACTCTAATATCTTTACCTCCCTCTAAAAGCCTATAATTTAGTACCTAACCTCTCAATCTGTGCAGTATGGTCAGGCTGGTATTTCCAAAATCCTATTATTTGATCTGAAAATAACCATGTAGGAAAAATATTTGCAATAAAATAAAAATAATAAACTTGTTTTTGTGATTTTAGAATACTAGGTGAAAATCCTCTTACCTCAAAAGTATATTCATTTTGAGGAAAAAAATCTTCATTTTTTAAAAAGAGAACAAATAAGTTAATTTTTAAAAAGAGAACAAGTTTTTATTTGTTAATTTTTAAAAAGAGAATAGGTTAATTTTTAGAAAGACACATGTGGCCCTTATTAAAAATTCAAACACCGCCAAAAAATGCAAAGAACTTTCAATCATTTCTGCTACTTTTATAGGAAAAAAATAAAGTCATATTTCATAAGAAAGCAATAGGATGAAGAAACTGAAATAGAGCTAAAGGAATTGCTGAACTTTGAGTGAAGTTAAGAAAACATGAATTAACTGCCTCCTCTCTCATTCTGATGCAAATTTCAAAGTAGTTGGCATGTGTCACGTATCCTTCCTAATTTGTGGTTTGTGGCAATGAGCATTGCCATATTTTATTGGAGGTTTTTTATTTTTTGAGACGGAGTTTTGCTCTTGTAGCCCAGGCTGGAGTGCAATGGCGTGATCTCGGCTCACTGCATGGAGAGTTTTTTTGTTTTTTGTTTTTTTTTTTGGTCATCCATTTCTTTCTTTTCGTTATCAGTTGGCTTTGAGGGAGGGGAAAAAATTACTTTATTATATTTTTGCTTGCGTTTTTCTGTAATCATTTTAATGTGGTATTTAAGTTGATCAGTTTTTATGAATGTTGTGACATACATAGTCTAAGGACTTTAAGTTAAACAAGTCAGACCGAGACAGACAAATACTGCATATTCTCATTTATAAGTGCGAGCTAAACAATGGGTCCACATGGACATAGAGTGTGGAGACTCAGAAGGGTGTAGGGGTGGATGACGAGAGTTTATTTAATGTATTTTGTTTGAGTGATGGAGACCTTAGAAGCTCTGACTTCACCACTATGTAATCCATGCATGCAACAAAATTACCCTTGTACGCCATAAATTTACACATTTTTAAGAAAGGACTCAAGTGCTTCTGTAAGCCCTGAAACACATTAACGGAAGTCTCCACTCCACCTCCCCACTTCCCACTCCTCAGAAGCCATCTTATTTTTGGCATCAACTTCATATTTCTAAGTAACAAGCTTGCATTGTTCTTGATCATATATGTTGTAAAACACTTGCATTTACATTCCAGTGCAATCTTTTGTTTCTTCATTTGCCTTGTTTTCTGCACACTCATCACTAACTCATCCCTTATCTCACCACTGGAAGGAAACAGAAGTAAACTGTTTTATATTTTTCTTGACTGTTATGGACCAGATGTTTTTGTCTCCCATCAAAACTCACATGTTGAAATCCTAACCCCTAACTTGATGGTAGGAGGAGGTGAGGCCTTGGAAAGTGATTAAGACATGAGGGTGGAGCCCCTGTGAATGGGTTTAGTCCCCTTATAAAAGAGACCCAGAGAGCTCTCTGAACTCTCCTTCTGCCATATGAAGAAACAACAGTAAGTCAGCAGCCTGCAATCCAGAAGAGGGCCCTCACCAGCACCTGACCATGCTGGAACACTGATCTCAGACTGCCAGCCTCTAGAAATGTGAGAAATCAATGTTTGTTTTGGAAGCCACCCAGTCTATGGCAGTATGCTATAGCAACCTGTCCCAGTCTATTTGGCGCTGCTATCACAGAATACTGCAGATAATGTATAATGAACAGAAATATATGACTATGGTTCTGGAAGCTAGCTGGGAAGCTCAAGATCAAGAGGATGGCATCTTGTGAGAGCCTTCTTGTTGAACATCCCATGGCAGAAGGACAAAGAGAAGAGGACACAGAGAGAGGGAGAAGACAGAGGAAAGAGGAGAGGGAGAGAGAGAGAGAGAGAGCAAGAGTGCACAAAAGGGGACCAGACTTGTTCTTTTATAAGGAATTGACTCCTGCAATTACAGCATTAATCCATTCATGAGGGTGGAGTCCTCACGACCTAAACATCTCCCATTAGGCCTCACCTCCCAACACTTCTGCATTGAAGATTACATTTCTAGTGCATGCTTTTTGGGGGACACATTCAATCCTTAGCACAGCCCAAAGAGACTAAAGACAAAGATAGTCCCCATGGAGCTCTTCATCTTCCTTGTTCAGTCTGTACTGGTTGCTCTCTAGGTCTGGAATCTGGAATCTTCTTTTATTATCGTCCTAATAATTAGGAGTTACAAAATGATTTGAATGCATGTTTTTTCTTCTATTTTTCTTTTTTTGCTCTCTCTCTCTCTCTCTCTCTCTCTCTGTCTTTCCCCTAGGGCTGGGACATCTCCTGCCCTTGGCATCAGAACTCTGGGTTCTCCAGTATTTGTACTACAGAACTTGTACCAGTGGCCGCCCGGTGTCTGAGGGCTCCAGCCTCCCACTGAGAGCTACACCATCGGCTTCCCTAGTTCTGTGGCCTTAAGACTTGGACTGAGCCATGCTGCTGGCTTCCCTGGTTCTCCAGGTTGCAGACGGCCGATTGTGGGACTTCTGCCATAATTGCATGTGCCAATTCCCCAAATAAATCTCCTTTCATATATAGAGATACAGATATAGGTACATATCTCCTCTTGATTCTGTCGCTCTAAGAGCCTAGACTAATACAAAGGATTTAGCAAAAACAAAGATAATACTTGGAGAGTAAGTTCTTTTGGAAAACCAAAAAACTATTATTCATCTTCTCTGTTCCAGTCCTTATTGCTACCTAACAGATTGCTCCCCAAACTTGCTGGTTTAAAACAACAACAATTATTTCATTATCTCTAATGGTTTCTGTGAATCAGAAATTTGGCCTCTCTCTACCTCCTTAGGTCATCTCAAAGCTTTTTCATGTGTCCGATCCACGTAACCTAGTGCAGTTCCTTGAGCATGGTGGCCTCAGGGCAGTTGACTGCTTTCCTGGGCAATCAGTACTCCAATGTGCATGGCCCAGTCCCCAAGGCACGTGTCACCTTGGCTCTATAACCTAGCTTTGGAAGTCAGGCAGCATAATTTCTGCCACATTCTGTTGGCTTAAGCAAGTCCCAAGGCTGTCCAGATTCTTGGAGAGGAAAACTAGATATCACGTCTTGATGGAGCAGTCACTTGGCTCTGGAAGCACAGGTGTCAGGAGAGCTTTTGTGGCAGCCGTCCTTGGAAAACACAATCTTCCAAATCTTCAAGAGATAAAAGAAGCCCCTCCAGACACTAAATCTTGGGTCTTCTGCCTTATTTGGCTCTGGGGCAGTTACCCAGCTGCAAGAGTGAGGAGAAGATTGTCTTCATATAGAAATTTTTAGCTGATCCTTCCGTTTTTAAGTCTATCTTTCTGAGGTGCCAGGGGCTACCCATTTCTGAGCCTTCTAGTGCAACAGAGACTGCTATGGCAGTCCGCTATAGCAGCCTGTCTCAGTCCATTTTGTGCTGCTATAATAGAATACCGCAGATAATTTACAATGAACAGAAATGTCTTGGCTGTGGTTCTGGAGACTGGAAAGTTCAAGATCGAGGGGATGTCGTCTTGTGAGAGCCCTCTTGTTGTATCATCCCATGGCAGAAGGGCAAAGAGAAGAGGAGCCATGCCCTTGAGCTTCTGCCACCCAGAAGAGGGCCCTCACCAGAGCCTGACCCAGAGGGTTCCACCTTCATGAATGAGTTAAGGCAGTAATTGCAGGAGTCGGTTCCTTATAAAAGGAACTGCCCTTTTATAATTGCCTGCTCTTGAGCTTCTCCCTCAACCAGCTTAGGGGTTGGCCTCCCTTTGTCTACTAAGTGTGTTATTCCTCCATTTGCTTGCCGTCTTTCTAAATGTTGCTGTCCTCTCCTGTCCTCTTTGTTTAGATTGACTCTTACCTTCAAAAAAATTTTGAAATCCTTTTCTAGGGATTTTGGAGGAAGTAAAGGCAAATAGGTTACCATTTTAGCTTATTATCTTCATAAAAATAAAAAAAAGAAAAACATTGCTGGTAGTGTTCAGAGAACAAGGCATTCTCAGTGTATACTGCATGTACTTTGGCACTGTGTTTAGAAAATCTTACTAGCTTTGTACGTGAAAAGCCTAAGCATTTTACATCCTCTAACTCTACCTCTCCATATCTGGCAATCCATCCTCAATAAATAATGTAAAATATTGAAATGCCACTTGCAAAAATCATTTACTGCAGTATTATTTACAATAAAAAAATTGGAAACAATTTTAAGAACAGAAATTGAAATTGCCATTTCCCTATTGTGAAATATTTAGGTTAAATAAATTTTGGTAAACCCACTGGGTGGAATAATATGAAGCAGTATTTTTAAGTGATGGGTATGAAGACCAAGTGGTTTCAAGGGAATGAAATGCTATATATGCTAATACTATGTACATAATGATAGTACGGTACATACATTATAATAATATAAATTGATTTTAGGAACTCAGAATACATTTTCCAATAGTACAAAATTCTAACATGGATCAATAACTAAAGATTATTTAGTAGTGAAACCAAATTATAGCACTAATGCCATTAGCTTGGATTCTGGATCTTAGTAGAAGAGAAACTGCCAGAGGGGAGAGAAAGACAGTTTCCTCTCTTTTTGCCAGTGCAGACCTGCTGGCTTTAGGCAAGATCAGCAAAGAAAGGAGTATCTTTCTTCCTTCCAGTCTGTTACTAACAGGCTTCAGCTCTCTGTTTTCATGGAAGTCATCTTAACTATCTCCTCAAAGCTTGTCCAATGTCTTCCCCACTCCTAAATTACACCTGGCTCCTCCCTTCAAACTCAATGCTCCTTCTTCAGGACAGCTCTTCTGGGTAAGGACTTGGCCATTTCAATTCCGTCCACATTGAGGTATTAAAGAGATGGTATTACCATCCTCCCAGACCCACTCCTACTGATTCAAATGATGCTGTAATAGAATAGAATGGCCTAATAGAACAATAGGTCACAGGACAGAAAGGGAACAAGTCAGGAATTTCAAAGGAAATCATTTTGGGTGAAGAGTGGCTGGTCTCCAAGCACATTCCTTAAACTATTCCTACTCTCCCACGATTTTTTCCATCTAAACTCATGGGTTCTCTAAAAGTTTAATTTAAAAAAATCAGTGATTCCCTGCTGCAATGGTAGTGGGTGGCTTTGTGTGTGTGTGTGTGCATGTGTGTGCACGCATGTATGCGGGGATGGTGGGGTGGTGGTGTGGTCTGTGATGGGTAGGGGGTGAAGTTGGGGCAGGGCAGCTTTTTATTCATATGGTTGATTTTTATTAAAAAGAGGGGACTGCTCAAGCATACTCTTGTATGCTTGCAAGCTATGTTCTGATTTGTGAATTCCTTTACTCATGCCTAGAGGATAAATATTTTATTTGTGTCATAATTTTTACATTATCCTTTGGCTAGAGGAAAAAAAGCTCATGTTGGGATCAGAGTATGGCCATGTAGTGTAATGCAGTAGCTTGAGCGGCCGGAAGCTCATAGTTGTACACTGAATTCCTCTTTGTAACAACTGTGCAATAAAAGCAAGGAAACAGCTGGAGCTGACCAATTGCATCCACCCTCCTAGCTCCTCATAGAAATAGATGTCGAGTTTTAAAAAATTGTTTCCATGTTTTGTTTGGATTTTAGAATTTCCATCATCAGAAGCTCGTTTTACGTAGCGCAGTCTCCAGACTGGAACAGAGAAATTGCCATCCTTCAGCAACCATCAATCAGTAATTCAAAGCATGAATTTCATCAATAAGAAAACTTACAGGGCATGGCCTGTGTTTACCCTGCAAATCAGCTTCTTTGTAATAAGGCAATCTAAAGTGGTCTCTCATGTCAGAAGAATTTATTTGGTCACATCCCTTGTTTTATTCCTCTCCTCATATATTCAGAAAGAGAAGTCTCTGCTATTAACACAAAAGCATGGATACGGTGTGTGGGTGGCACCCTAAGAAACACAAAGAATTATCTTGTTATCTAAGACTTATTGTTAGAAACCGACAGGTCCAGCTCACACCTGGCTCTGTTTGTGTGTGTGTGTGTGTGTGTGTGTGTGTGTGTGTGTGTATGTTTCCTTGCTCAACCGCACAGAGAGGGCCTCAGAAAGAACGGCAAAGAAAGAAGGGAAACTTCTTCAGAACTTTTAGGACTTAGGCCTGCCCTGAGTCATCAGGGTGATAAGATAGAAAGAGGACACACAGGGCAAGCTGTGTTATCTGGTATCCAAGGATCTCATTAATTTACCATTCTACATTGGACAACAAGCAAGGCCAATATCTTTCAAGGCCTCCTGGGGCATTGGGAGAATAGCCATAGCAAATTGGACCACTGACCGTGTGTCAGCATATTAGTTTTAAGGGCCATTGAGACTTTGGTAAAGGAAACAGAAGAGTAAGGAATGAATCAGCTATTAAATACCCCTTTTGTGTCAAACTTAGGCCAGGTGCTCTTCCTTATCTCCACAGAGTTGGGGATTTTGAAGGTGCATAGGTGTTTCTGAGTTCTTACAGGCACAGGAATTTGAACCCAGAGCCAGACACCCACTGTTTCTTCATGGAGACATTCTCCATCTTTAATAGAGATGATGGTTCAGGATGAGGGAAATCTTTCCAGTTGTCTGAAATGCTCAAATAGGAAGAGGGCTGCCTCATGTGGTCCCGGGCTCTCCATGAACACAACTTGGATCTGATCCAGTGAGTGTGTTATAAAGAGGACATCATTCTAGTGTATATGGTGGAAAAAACACTAGGCTTGGAGTCAGGGACCTAGGATTCCAATCTCAATCTGCCATTTACTAGCAATGTGATTTTGGATGATAAACTTAACCTCTAGAAGTCTCTGTTTCTTCATTTTGTAAATAAAGGTGATCATATCAATGCCTGAATGTTGTTGTGATGATTAAATAAGGTAAACTATGTGAACACACTTAGTTCAGTGCCTGGCATAACAGGAAATGTTTAATAAAATATCAGTTGAATATGAATGAATGAAATAGTCCTTTCAACCACGACATACTTTGATTTTGTGACAAAAGGGGCCTCCTGAACTTTTAACCATCTATAGTAATAGAAGAAGTGTTGGAATAAGTAACCCAATGACATTTGAATGTTAGCGCAAAAGCTGAAAGTCTGAGTAATCATAAATTCATTATAGTAACAGAAATAAAAGTCTTTTGGAATAGTCCTTGATATTTTAAAAGAAGTTATTAAGTGTTTGTCATAACCTCAGGTGGTTTATGATTCAGGAGGTTGTTGTATGAGGCCACAGAAGATAACATTTTAACTTAGTTAATAGAGGAGAGGGATTATAAACTTGTTTCAATTTATAACTTGATCTACTGCTTTAATTTGACTTACATGACTTAATTTATATTTTTAACTGAATTTACAAGATTCCTTTATAAGAGACATTTGTTAAGGAAATATAAAAGTCAACAGGCTAAAATAGACCTATTTAAAAGGGATTTAAATCAAATTACTTCAATAGTAAAGCTTTAGAAAGCATTTTACTTATAGCTTTATTCATCTCTGAAAACTAAAAAGTGACTAGCAATGGACTTGTTCAAATATTTGGGTTACATTTGGCTTAGACCTGAGAAAAATCTGGACTCATTCATCTGAACAGGAGTTATCATCCTTGGTAACGGGGCAGAGGATGCAGAGAGACTGTCAATCACTTGGGATAAGAGGAAAATTTTAGATGTACTTTCTACAATGTAGCAGTTGCTTTTTATTTCTTGAAACTCTATAAGATACTCAAGGAACCAACATGATTTGCTAACGATCTCAATAACAACCTCAAGAGGATGTTTTAGAATCCATTCTTATTTAATCTCAAGTGTGTTTGCTGCTTTAATGATGTTCCAGGCCAAATGACTCATGCCAATTCCATGACAGAGACAGGAATTTAATCAGGGCCATGCATTCAAGGGTTGGCTGACTATGAATACAGTACTGCCTGTCATGAACTAGTATAACTCTGAGGTCTAAAGTCTTGCTGGATTGTTGTGAGCACGGAGCTTCTGGATAACGCATTTCAGTGCTGTACAGAGAGACGGGCGAGCACTAATGTCAACAATTGAGAGGGAAAAGTTTTGCTGTTGGTTATGGCAACACTAACAACACAGATAGAAAAGTTCTGTCTAGGATTTCCTAGCAGCTCTTGAAAGATAATGGTTTACATTTTGCAGGATTCTCACTAAAGAGGCTTTCAGTGACTCAATGATTAATAAACTTAATAATAATTTGCATTTTATAACATTAATGCTTTTCAAAGCACTTTCACATCCATCAGCTCATTTGATCCTCACAGCCTTGTGAATAATGAATTTTATATAATTAGTGCAATTTATAAAGAAACAGAATGCCTAGTTAGGATTGTTCACTTTGGTTTTTAATAATGTTGAAATTGGAATTCAAGTTACTCTTGTTCCACTGTTCTATATAATATAAGATTCCCTCTTTAATTGGGATAAACTCAAAAAGTACAAATTTCCCCTTTCTTTAAACAAAATTAGTTTAGAATAGTGTTGTCTGTGTTTCTGGTCATAAATCCAGGATGGAAAGAAATAGAAGATGTGAAAGGACATTTTGGTGCCTTTGAGGATTGCTGAGAAATGATTCACATAAGGGCTAGAATTTGGTATTTCTCTGTAAGCTATACTTGACCCAACTCCCTAGGGAGAAGCACAGAAAGTGAGATTGGCTACTGGCACAGGTAAATCATAAGTCATTTGTACTAGTCTAAAGTAAGCAAATTTGCATTAGTTAAGGTCTAAACTTCAGAATACTAAAATAAAATTTAGTAATGTTAAAGTTGATAAAAGCAAGTTTTTAGAAGACCTCTTTTAACAAAAAGCAAAGATAAACTTATTTACATGTCAATTTATTTTTAGATATTTATTTTTTTTATAGAGATGGGGTCTCACTGTGTAACCCAAGCTGGTCTCAAACTCTTGGGCTCAAGCAATCCTGCCTCAGCCTCCCAAAATGCTGGAATTAACAGGCATGAGCCACCGTGCCTGGTTTACATATCAATTTGTTGATCTATCTTTGAAGTTGTATCTTTAAAGTTATCTTTAAGGCAGAAATACTCAAGGGGAAGGTGTCCACTAGGTTCATATAAAATTATCTGGAGGTGGGAGTAAGGGAAAAAACTGCAAGGAGACGTGTATTTTGAGAAAATCATATTAATTATTAGAATAACTTTTTGAAAAATGGAAAAAATTCCCTACTGTTTTCATATTAGAAATTAAAGAAGGCAAAGCCTCATGAAATATTTTTGGCTGGTGGAATATAATTTGAAAAATAGTTAAGCTAATCTAACTCCTAAAATATTTTGTCCACTATTAATGTCTAAAGCAATTCAATTTTGTAATATTAAAAGCAAATAAGTAGGCTGGGCATGGTGGCTCATGACTGTAATCCCAGCTCTTTGGGAGGCTGAGGTGGGAGCATACCCTGATGCCAGGAGTTTGAGACCAGCCTGGGCAACACAGTGAGACCCTGTTTCTACAAAAAATTAAAAACTTAGCAGGGTATGGTAGCACATGCCTATAGTCCCAGCTACTCTGGGGGCCAAGGTGGGAGGATCACTTGAGCCCAGGAGGTCGAGGATGCAGTGAGCCATCATTGCACCACTGCGCTCCAGCTAGGGCAACAAAGCTCAAAGCCTGTCTCAAAAAAAAAAAAAAAAAAAAAAAGCAAATAAGTATTTCTTGTAAATATCAATTGTATTATTTCAAAGACAATTTTAAAAAAATTGAGATGCTTTAAAACTTTTGTCTTTAGACTTTAGGCTTTAATGATATATGTTTTCCAAAGAGTCTTCTCCCTTAACCCAAATTACGCCCTCAGAATTAGGTGCAACCCACCACTATCTGCCATGCTGTCCTTGGACAAGACTTTGAATCAGGCAGCCCTCCCAGTAGAACCTTCAGCGTGGGTATCCATGGGGGTCTCTCACTCGGCCTTCTGGCTTGTTTCCCTGCATGCTGCAGTTGGTTCTATCCCCTCCATTGCATTCCCAGCCTAGTCTTATTCATCCTGTCCTTCCTTGCTGGCAATCCACTGCTTCCCCCACAGCAGGCTCTCTGTACATGTTCCCGTATTTCACTAAACTTGTGCTCAGTGTATAGGAAGGAATAAAATTATTATTAATGATCAAACTGCTTGAAATTACTTCGTTCACACAGAATGTAGAATGTTAAATTGTACTGCCAATAATTTAATTTAATTGAGAGTCTTTGCCTTATAGAACTTGAATACTGTAAAAGCCACCTTATATTTAGTAAACATATCCCTTGGAAGAGTAGCTAGAAAGTATTGTTAGTCAAGTTAAACATTTCACTATATCCTGTGCCCAGTCCTCTTGAGAAAATGAAGGTAATACATTTAAAATGCCAAGAAAAGGATGGCTCAGAGAGAGCAGCTGGCTCTTCATAATTTGTTTTCTCAGGATTTGGTTTTAAACAGAAAAATATAAAATGCCTATTTATCTAAATCAAACACTCTTGTAACCAGTTGGAATTAATAGAGGTAAAAATATGTGAGTGAGTTCAAAGCCAGGTTGATCTATAAAATGGGTAGGCTATAGCATTATAGTCTCAGGCTTGATTATTTAAGAAAGTAAATTTCCTGTAGCCAAGGAATGCCTGGAATGAGCCCAGTTGCTAAGGCCAGAGCTGCCTGTTGGAAATGATAAGCGCGCAAATGGTTGTGGAGTGAAGAAATTGCATGTCAGAGGCAGGTCTTCATGGCCCATAGACGTGATGGAGTACTCAAGGGCAGCGTGGACGTTGGTGAATGGACCTGCTTGCAGGGCAGCCAAACATGTGAGCAATCTAAAAGCAAAACCCTCAGGACAATTTATCAGACCAGTTCCTTTTTGGCTCACAAAAGAAAAGAAAAGAAATGTATAGAGTTTCAGCTCAAGTCATGGAGCTAATATGTGGGAAAAGATAAAGAGTGTTATTTCTGTGAACTTCACATTATTTAGAGTTCTGATCATTGCTGAAGAACAGGAAATAAAAACACTCAACAACATATACAAATAAAACACTCAGGAAAAAAAATTCAGCTGTGTCCCCACACTGGTGGGGATTAGAAAAGGGCACACACTTGGCCAGGCGCGGTGGCTCACGCCTGTAATCCCAGCACTTTGGGAGGCTGAGGCGGGCGGATCACGAGGTCAGGAGATCGAGACCATCCTGGCCAACATGGTGAAACCCCGTCTCTACTAAAAATACAAAAATTTAGCCTGGTGTGGTGGCAGGCGCCTGTAGTCCCAGCTACTCGGGAGGCTGAGGCAGGAGAATGGCGTGAACCCGGGAGTTGGAGCTTGCAGTGAGCCGAGTTTGTGCCACTGAACTCCAGCCTGGGTGACAGTGCGAGACTCCGTCTCAAAAAAAAAAAAAAAAAAAAAAAAAAAAAAAAAAGGGCACACACTTGAAACAAAAGTTATTTATCCTACAACCAAAGCCAAATCCGAACACTTTGTCCTGTATTAGATTTAGAACAGTTTACGGAGGACTTGCTTTTTCTGCACTGAATTTTTAAATCTCTTTCTCTAAGAAAGTTAATTGGCCAGGTTTTCTCAAATATCTGGGACCCCAAAGAGAACCTCAGGCTAGGGGGAATGTTATTTTACCACCACAAAATTCTATAACAAAGCCACTTAAACTTGGCAGCTATCTCTGCAGCTTTGACTTTTCTGAATTAAGTCAAAATTATTTTCTTTTTCCATACATATTTGTGGACTTCTGTCCACTTATGGATTTTCATCCATAAATATTTTCTGACTTTTTGGCTCTTCCTTCTCTCTTTATTTTTTAAGCTTTTAATCAGATTATTTTCATGCGTTATGGTATTAGGGTTCTCTCTAGAGGGACATAATCAACAGACTATATAGATATAGACATACGAGAGGGGATTTCTTAGGGGAATTGGCTCATGTAATTGTGGAGGCTGAGAAGTCCCATGATACGTCCTCTACATGGTGGAGACCCTGGGGTACCAGTGGTGTGGCTCCGTCCAAGTCCAAAGGCCTCAGAACAAAAGAAGCCAATGGTGTAACTCTTAGCCCAAGCTCAAAAGCATGAGAATCTGGTATAAGTTCTGGAGCCCAAAGGCTAGGGAGCCTGGAGTTGCCCCAAAACAGTATATCTCATCTCTAGTAGATAGATAGACACTACCACCTTTTCTCTGTTTTTGTTCTCTGCAGCCCCTAGCAGACAGGATAATGCCTTCCCACATTGAGGGTAGCTCTTCCCCACCTCATCCACTCAGACCCACATGCTAATGTTCTCTGGAAACAGCCTCACAGACCCACCTCAAAGTAATGCTTTACAGATTTCTAGGTGTAGGGGCTAAAGCACCTCCTTCTTGGATGCTAATGCACCATGCTGGCTTCTGAATAACCCAGTTGCAGAATGCCACTAAGTTTTCCACCTTATCTACTGTTTACTGCAAATTCTGCTCTAGGGTAACTTGCTTCTGAAGCATGTAGACCCTTTCTCTATGGTATATAGGCCCTGGGTCTGAGGAGGTAAAGGAATCCACCATCTCATCTTGTAGATACCAGAGACGCAACTTCTGTTGGTAAGTCCCTATTCAATTTGTTTTTTTTTTCTTCTGAGAAACTGGCTTTGTCAGACTGTTTCTTTGGCCTCTCAGCTCCCTTGGCCTTTGGAGGTAGGCTTGCATAGACCTGCTCCCTATGGAACACCAGTCAAGTTGACACTTAAAATTAACCATCACAGTTACCATGATACTTTTAAATTGCATCCTAAGGTCTGAAGATTTAAGAAATACATTAAGAGAGAAGGGATATTTTCTCTACTTGAATAATTCTCTAAGAAGAAAAGAAAAAAAAAGGGTTCTATTCTTGTTCCTTTGGGCCTTCTTCCAAATCTGTCAAACCTCCTGTTCCAACTGAAAATGAAAAAGAAGCCTGTGAAAAGTTTCTCTCCCTACTGATGTGAAAGTGTCTTCCAAGCTGGGATTATTAAGACTGGATAGGTAGACCTGAGGAAAAATGGCCATTGTCACTAACAGCTTAGCTGATTTCACATAGGGGTGAAATTCTAAGATGCATACTTCCAACATTTCTCTTCTTTTTCTCCCTATTTGTTTATATATTTTGTATTAATTAATTTTCTCTCCAACCTGCTCTAAAAGGGTAGACCATGCATTTATTCTGGTCCCTGTTTCATACTGAGAGCTGTGGAACAGAATTTGTTCAGTCTTCCAACCGCTTTTGGCAAACCCACTACCTCACATCCAACAAGAAATGTTTCTCTAGGAGGCAAGTGGAAAACCCTCTCTTCCTTAGAGGTATAACGTGGACTTGAGCCTGAGGTCTCTTGGAGCAAAAAGGAGTCTGGGACCTTTCTTTTCTTTTCTTCTCTTTCTCTGCTTCTCTCTCTCTCCTTCCTTCCTTCTCTCCTCCTCCTTCTTTCTCTCCCTCTTTCTCCTCCCTTTTCTTTCTTTCCCTTTCTTTCTCTTCTCTCTCTTGTTCTCTCTCTTTCTCACTCTTTCTCTCTTTCTCTCCTTCCTTCCTTCCTTCCCTCCTTCCCTCCCTCCCTCTCTCTCCCCCGCACCCCGCCTCTCTCCCTCTCTCTCCCTCTCTCCCTCTCTCACTCCCTCTCTCTCCCTCTCTCCCTCTGTCTTTCTTTCCTCAGTCTTGCTCTGTTGCCCAGGCTAAAGTGCAGTGGCACAATCTCGGCTGATTGAAGCCTTGACCTCCTGAGCTCAAGCAATCCTCCCATCTCAGCCTCCCAAGTAGCTGGGACTGCAGGTATGTGCCACCACACCTGGCTAATTTTGTCTTTCTGTAGAGACAAGTTCTCACTATGTTGCCCAGGCTGGTCTTGAACTCCTGGGCTCACATGATCTTCCCACCTTGGCCTCTCAGAGTGCTGGGATTCAGGTGTGAGCCAGTGTGCCTGGCTAATCAGCGCTTTCTTGTCTCCTGATGGGCCTTGAGTCAGGAAGGGATGCAGGAGTTACTAAGGTGACCCAACTTGGTTCTTGAAAGGACTGGATACATTGCTCCAAGACTTGCGCTATTGACAAAACCAGTCCGATATGGTGGGTGTGGTTTCCAGTTGCATCTTCCAGAATCTCTGCATACTTCTCAGCCCTTCAGGGCTTCAGAATACTTTTACTGTGACCAAAATTAAGTAGAAATGACATTTTAGGACACTGCCACTGCTCCTGAAGTACCGAAATGACAATCCAATACTCAAGGATCACCGAAATAATGCCAGTTAGGCATTTGACATTTAAAGCTATTAGGGAAGGATTAAAGGACAACATGAATTAAGTAAAAACAAAAACACAAACCAAAAAGCAAAGAGCTGCTAAGAATGAAAAGGACATTTGCTGTTGGACTGCTGTGTGCCAGGTCCTTCATGTGGAAATTCATTCACATTATTCTGTGTGATTTTCAAGGTATCCTTAAGAGGTAGTTACTATGTATTCCTGAAGATAAGGCTCAGTGACAAACAATTTTCCTAAGGTTACGTAACAGGTATGTGAGAAAGATGGATTCAAACTGACATCTAATTCCATCATCATCTTATAGGTTGAGACTTGAATTTGCTATAAACAATTTCTTCTACCATCTTAATAATACAGATTATAAAATATTAGCTAACTTCACAATACTCATAGGGAGAATAGGAGACTTAGCTGGAACACAGGGAGGGTGGCACATTATTTGTGTGACTGTAAATGATGGAAACACTGCAATGATTGAATGACTATTCAAATCTTGGTCACTCAGTAATCCTGTGACTTTTATTCTTCAAGTTTTTTCTAAGCAATAAACAAATGAATGTTTGAGAAGAAAACAGAACTCCCTAACTCAGAAAATGGTTTCAGAGTGATTAAAGAAATGTATTTTTCAACTGCAGTCCTGGTTTGGCATATGAACATGAACATTTTTATAGTTAAAAAAAGTGCAGATGAGTGAATTTGGAGATATCTTTGTGTCTCTTGATGATAAGTTCTTGCTTAACTTGGCTTGGTGAAAGGATCATAATGAAGAACTGTTTTCAGCAGCCTGGGTGATATCCAATTCACATGTATTCCTATCATATATTCTAGACTTGCCTGATTTTGTATCTGTAAACCATTAAAATGCTTTGGAAATTTCAGTGTAGTCAGATTCAACTATACATTCAAGACTTCTGGGCACATTAGGTGTTCAATGAATGTTTGCTCAATAAGAGTCAATAAATGAATAAACCTTACACCTAGATGTAGCAAAAAAAAAAAAACAGTGTCTGTTCAATTCTTGTATCCTATTTTTTATGATAAACTCTGCATCCAGTAATATTCTAATTTCTTTTTACTCAATCACAATAATCAAAAAGCTTTAAGACTAGAGGCTATGCTTTTAGTTGCTACAAAATGAAAGGAAAGGGAGTCTTGCCTCTTACTAATATGTGAACCTTGGGGCAGGCTACTACAACCATCTCCTTCTTGGTACAATAGGAGCACTAGTAATAGCAATCATTTCACCAGGTTGTGGTGAGGATTAAACGATGCTAACACAATTAGAAAGCTTAGCACACTGCCTAGCAGACAAGTTCTCAATAAATACCAGCTGCTATCCTTGTTAAGAGCAAGAATTAAGAAGATGGTAGGTTTTTCTTCGAACTTGTATTATTTTCCTAGGAAGCCAGAAGTCTGAAAGCAAGGTGTTCTCAGGGCTACGCTTCTTCGAAAACTCTAGGGAAGAATCTTTCCTTCACTCTTCTAGCCTCTGGTAGCCTCAGGAATTCCTTGGCTTGGGGCAGTGTAACTCCGATCTCTGCCTCCGTCTTCACATGGCTTTCCTTCTATGTCTGTCAGTACCTCTGTGCCCCCTCCTCTTCCTATGAAGACACAGTCATTGGATTTAGGGCCAACCTCCTAGTATGACCTCAACTTACCATAATCACATCTGCAAGGACCCTACTTCCAAACAACGTTGTATTCTGAAGTCCTAGGTGGACATGAATTTTGGGGGACACTATTCAATCTACTATGGCATTCAACCACGAAAAGTAAACACAGAAATTGCTGCCTCTACTATAGGTATGTTATTTTCTCTCTTGCTTAAACACACAGAGAAGACACACAGAGAGTGTACTGCAAATTATGTCTCTAATTTCTGGTTAGTAATAAAAGTGACATTGATAATTATAGAATTCTTGAGTGTTTTGGGATCTGACTCTCCAAGAAGGAGCAGTTTTAATGTTAGAAAACTATCTTTGGCATGACCAAGCAACTATCCATTCGGTCCCCAATAATCCTGGGGATGACAGACCCACAGTTAAACCTTCCATGTAGTCTGGGATGATTCTCCCCTCAGCCTCAGCCGATGGGGTGCCAAGGAATTCTGCATTGGAAGGGACCTACCTCCACTGAGTTAAACTGCTCCTCATTGATGAACGTGCTGAGAAGATGGGATGCTGCTCAGTTATCTGCCGACAGATGAGGAGACTGCCTGCATGGTCTAGTTGTAGGGTTTCCACAACGCCCTTGTGCTATCTCCAAACCATGAAATATTCCCCAGTCAGCACTCCTACTAAAGATTCAAGTAGCCCTGGGAGAGCTAACACTTTAACTGGTGGTCAAATCTTTAGGCATCTCTTTGAAAAAGGGCTCTGGGCTGGGTGTGGTGGCTCATGCCTGTAATCCCAGCACTTTGGGAGGCTGAGGCAGGCAGATCACCTGAGGTCAGGAGTTCGAGACTAGCCTGGCCAACATGTTGAAACCGTCTGTACTAAAAATAAAAAATTAGCTGGATGTGGTGATGGGTGCCTGTAATCCCAGCTACTCGGGAGGCTGAGGCAGAAGAATCACTTGAACCTAGGAGGCAGAGGTTGCAGTGAGCCAAGATTGTGCCACTGCACTCCAGTCTGGGCGACAAGAGAGAAACTCCATCTCAAAAAAAAAAAAAAAAAAAAAAAAAAAGAGAAAGAAAGAAAAGAAAAAAGGGTTTTGGATAAGAGGTTAGAGGAAGTCCCCTTCTTGTGTGGTTTTGACTAGTGCGGAATAGTGAGTATCAGTGCATCATCTACAAAGCAGAAGAGATGATCATGAGGAACCTACTCAAATCCAGCCCTGTCTTCCTAGTTCAACAAAGTGACAAGACACGGTAATTTCACTTACATATTCAACTATACACTCCAGCAAAAGAAAGGGAGAGAGGGAAAGTAGGTATGGAATATGGAGAGACAGAGACAGAGACAGGGATTGATGTAGAAATAAAGATTGTGCTTATGGTGAACGGAGAAGGAAGGAGGAAGAGAAGGGAAGAAGAGGAGGATGATAAGGAGGATGGGGAGGAGGGGGAGAAGGAGAGGAGGGAAAAACAGAATTCAAACAGTATGGGCTGTCTGCCCACCATTCTCCTGGATGGGCTAATAATATACAGGGGTGAGACTTAGCTTATCTGTCCCCCTGGGCTATTTTATGACCTGGGCTATTTTGGGTCCCAAGCCTGTCCTAGTGTGAGCCTCTCACATAGCTGAGTGTGATACTAGTGTCTTGAGGTCTTTATTTTCATGCAACCTGACCCCAACAAGGCAGCCCTTCCTCCGATGCCCATCTGAAGGGTGATCTCTTCAGCTGCTTGTGGAAAATGAGTTCTGCTAAATGTATTGAGATTTAACAAATGCATTGTTAAATGTATTGAGATTCTCAGGGACAATATAATTACATAAAATTTTCACCTGACCATGCTTCTCCATTCCAGAAAGTACAACTAGATGGTCCAATAATATCTAATAAATAGCTAGATATTTTATGACCAGAGATAGTTATCCCTCAAATGTCTGGGGTAAGAACTTGGCTTCCTACTATTATTTTTCCAAAGAAGAAAAAATAATGATGTTAGAGGAAATACATCATTGTGCAAAGACTGGAAAATGTAGCTAAGCAAAAACAAAATAAGAAACATGCACATGTATGTTTATTGCAGCACTATTTACACAGCAAAGACTTAGAACCATCCCAAATGCCCATCAATGATAGACTGGATAAAGAAAATGTGGCACATATACAACATGGAATACTATGCAGCTGTAAAAAGAATGAGTTCATGTCTTTTGCAGGGTCATGGATGAAGCTACAGGCCATCATTCTCAGCAAACTAACACAGGAACAGAAAACCAAACACCACATGTTCTCACTCATAATTGGTAGCTGAACAGTGAGAACACATGGCCACAGGGAGGGGAACATCACACACAGGGGTCTGTTGGGGGGTTGGCGGCAAGGGGAGAGAGAGCATTAGGACAAATACCTAATGTATATGGGGCTTAAAACCTAGATGACGGGTTGATAGGTGCGGCAAACCCCATGGCACACGTATGCTTATGTAACAAACCTGCATGTTCTGCACATGTATCGCAGAACTTAAAGCAAAATAAAATAAGAAAAAATACTAGTATTTTTATCCTCCTGCAAAAAATAACCACAGTTAATATTTTGGCGTGTATTCTCACAGTTTGTTTGCCTCATCTCTGCGTGTATGCATGTTTTATTTTGTATAAACACGTAGTCCGGCTGTGTGTGGTAGGTTGGGCCTTGCTTCATTCACTTGGCAAAATATTAGCGATGTTTTCCACATCTGCAAGCATAGACCTATACTCCCAAAGGAAGGCCAGAGAAGGCCTTGCATGGAGCTCATTCTTCGGCCAATGCCAAAGCTCTTTGTAGAGGCTGAGCTGTTTGGCTGAAGCACCAGCCTGAGGTGGGGGGCGGTCACAGGAACTGCTGTGCAGGCACCAGGCTACCTGGAGAGTGAGGTCCAGAGCAGAGACAGCATCAGGCTGGGAGATCCTTCCAGTCCCTGATGGAGCTTGCCTCAGTGCAGACAAAGCTTTCCTGGACAGCTGTGGGATTCCTCTGAAACAGTTCCACTGTCATTCTACCAAGTCAAGGAGGTACTTGACTCAGAAGGATGCTCATAAATGATTTCCAAATATGTTTTGCAGTCTTCTATTTAAATTTTTTGGTTAAAGTCACTAATTGAATCAAATGAAAACTCATTCTGCTAAACAGATAATAAGGAAATATTTAGATGTCTTTTGTGTAAACATGTTGAAATAATGTCAGAGGCAACACACAGGCGTCATTTCACTTTATCTGCAATGTGGCCTAACCTGGAGAGGATATGCCCCTGCCTTTCTATTCATGACTATTGCCTATTAATCTCCAGAGGTTTTGCGTGAGCTACTGTGTTTAACCTAACTCTCCAAAAATAAAGGGATGGTGATTTTCTTTAAACTGGTACTTATGTAGTGGAATCTCGCAGGCATTAGTGCTTACTTGATTGCATTCAGACATTACTTTGGCAAGGAAATGACTGCATTAAATTAGCATCAAGCACAATGAATGGTAATTGCAAGACTGTCATTTCTACAAGTGCAAAATTAATGTGTTCTGCAGGCCCATTCAATTGTGTGCCGCAGGAAAATCATGGAACCATGTTGTTCTGAACAGAAAAATGCACTGTAATAGCACTGTTAATGTGCTTTGGTATTATTCTGCAATGGTGTTCCTTTCCACCTTTGTTGTTGTCTCATGCTCATTTTTCATACCCTGTCTGGCCTAATTTGTATGCTCATATTATAGCGCTGCCAAACAGTAGCCTGGAGGTACAGAGAATGTTATGGAACAATTCCTCCTTCTGTGTGTGGCATCTTGTGTGAATAATGCCAGTGTAAACAACCCTCCATGTATTCATCAGAGTCTGAACAGGCTACTTATGTAAAGCTTCTTATTAAGAGATGCACCAACCGCTCACAGAAAACTTTACCCATATGCTATACATTCATTTAGAAAGAGAGGAGTGATTTACATGCATTTCAATTGTGGCTTAGGAAAAGCACCAGCTCCTCCTCTCTTCATCCCTCATTTATATATGGGAAATTAAGCCACAGACCAGTTGAGTCAATTTCTTCTTCTGGTCAAGCAGGATCACAGGGTATAGTTCAAATGATAACATGCATATGCATTGGGCTCTTGTACTCTGCTCATTGGCTCTGCGGAATCTACTGGGGATTAAAGGAATTATTCAAGACTAAAATAACCAAGTAATAACAGATGCTCTAAGCTGACCAATTAAATGTGGTTTTTCAGCATTTCTGCAGTTTAGCTTAGGCTGAGAGCCACTCAAAGGCATCCTGAGTAAGAGTAATAATAATGATGTTAATGACTGACCAGAGGAGCTTTCTGGTGAGTGTAGCTTGAATCCAGTCTCTTAGCAACTGCAGGGGGTGGGGGCATCAAGACCACTGGGGTGCACTGGCTGATTCACTACAGAAATTGACTGATCAATTGATCTATTGGAGATCCTAACGTGGGAGGGTCAGGCCTGATTCCCCTTTTGAAGGCCACCTATTTTATCACTCACCATTAAGATGTAATGAGACTGCCTTTGTAGTGTTTCGGGCAGTGAATAATTTGCTAGAATCTGGAAGAAATTCTGCACCATACACAGAGCTTCTCTCATTTTATCAAACAAAAATGATTAGGAAATGATTTTGGTTGGAAAATTCCTACCTAAGTTGAGAGAAAAATTCTGATCATCTTAACCTCAGAATAAGGTACACTTGTTTACATATGAAAAATCATTAAATAGATGATTTGGGCTTAAAAAGACACGCAAAAGTGGCTCTGGAAATGGGTTCCACCTTACCTTTGTTGCAAAATGTTCCATCATATGCAGTATTAGAGCAATCGCAGGAGTAACCGTGGTATCTCTCTAGGCATTTGCCTCCATTTTCACAGTTTGTTCCATAGCTGGTGCAATGGCCCGAGCATCCGGATATGAACCCAGATGTGACCTTTGCTCTTTCCTCCAGGTCAAGTGTCACCCCATTCATCCTCAAGGAGCGGATGCAGCCCAGGAAGCCCTGCTGGCCCCCAGCACCACCTGGGAATGACAGAAGGCACAGAGTTCAGAGGGAATAACCTCTGCTATTGCTTAATTCTTCATATTTTGAACAACTGTGGTAGGAGATGACACTGCATAGCACATCTAGTATTGTCACTATCAAGTTGGTCCTATCTAAATAGAGAAAGTTGAAGCTTTTCTCCCTGCAGGCTATAAGGCCTAATTAAAAGAGCCATCTTCTGAGAAGCAACACGTTTCCTACAGAAATAAAATATTTGGAGATGCACAAAAATTATATCAGCTGTTTTGGAAGTCTAATCTGGTTTCCTATAGAAAAAGCGTTTACAGAAATCTCTAGATTCTTTGCTCTTTAATCTCACAACATCGAGTTCTGTAGCATTACTTATTGAAAAAATATAAAGGCAGAGACATGAATGTATTAGCATAGTTAACAAGTCAATTAGTTGGAAGACATAAATCCGTTTGAAATGTGATTGTAGATCTTGGTTCTTGTCTCAAGAGAGGCTTTGCTTTTAAGTTCATGTCAAGACTACCCAAGGCTCCTTGTCTGGGGTAGCTGGAAGCTGGAACTGATAACTTTACACAGAAATCAGCTATACCACATTTATTGCTAGGTTAGATCAGATTTCATTGCTTTTGTCTAAATGTCATTACACGACATATAGCACAATAAGCACGTTCACTGTGATTTTTGGAGTAAGTTATAGAGTTGGACTGAGGTTCATGAGCATGAAAATATTAAAATATTCCCAAGAAATTTCACAGAAAGATTCATTGAGGCATTCTATCACAAATGGATTTAATTGTGTCTATAGTATTCTTAGCTATAATCTTTTTAAAGCAGCTGGTATAAAAGGACGAACTCAAATTTATATACATGCTTGCATCTTAGAGTAACAACTTTTCTGGAAACTAATCTAAAATGAATAGTAGGTAAAACTGTTGAAAGAAATAGGTGATGAGCATTTAGAAAAGAAAATACTGTTAATAAAAATAAAACCCAAGTTTCTCCTTCATTGAGGGCTACATACTAGGCACTCTATATACAGTACCTTATATATGCTACTCACCTGGTCCTCACAACAACTTATCAAAGTAGATATTATTTGCATTATTCCCATTGTACAGATGGAGAAACTGAGGCTTGGAGAAGTTAAGAAGTTTACTCAAGGACTCATAGTTCCTGAGTGGCAACTGTATCAGATCTGTCTTATTCCTAAGGCAACAAACAGGGTTTATTGTCTTAAGCCCTGTTCTGTGTAGACCACTTAATACCGAGAAGAACTTTCCAGTCAGGGGTCTCATAGATGTACATGTTTCTGAGATGTAGATTTGGAGGTCTTTAAACATGGAGTAGTCAGTAGGGTTACTGGAATTCAGGTAAGATCAGTAGGCTGGGGATTGATTCTGATCACTTACTCTATTATCTTAAGAAAAGTCATAAACTCCAGTAGATTGGTCAGACAGGACTGGAATATCAAAGGCTTTAGTGGCAGAGATGAATTAGCATCTGCTTATGCCTGCAAAACCCCATCAGTGAAGTGGCAAATGAGTTGCTGTACCATCTCTGCAAACCCAAGCCTTGCAGTTCTCTCACTGGGTGACTCATTGGTTTTAATCATGACTCCCTTGGGAGTATTTGATTTCTTCTAACATATTGGAATAGAGAAGTGAAGAGAGTCCAGTGCCTTTTTTGATCAAAGCTATGAGAGAGTAGATGGCAAAAGAAGTTATTAAAAACAACTACTTTGAAGGATTTCCCATTCTGCCATCTGTTTGTCAACTGGGCTTCACACCTCTACGCTGAAGAGAATGAGGGCCTTTGCCTGATTTGGAAGAACTTCAACCCTCTAGTTACACCTTGTGTGTTAGAATTTCAATTTGGCTTCTATTATTTTAGCCATTATGGCTTTTGTCCTTGCAATAAGGGCTTTCCAAAAGACATTTTATTAAATAAATGTCTGGCCTTAAAAATTTTTTATCACTAGTCAATTAAGACAATTATATTCTATCAAAATATGCTAAAATGTAGAAATCATTTTTAGATCTCCCCATCTCTTTCTGCCTGGTGATCAATGTAATAGTCATTGTGGTCACTATAAACATACTGAGAAGCAGAATACAAAACAGATTCTGTTACGCTACTCAGATTTAACTACTTTCACTTTTAGGGAACAGCCTTTTTCATTTTTCTATGAACATACTATGTGTAAATAAAAAGGAAGAAATGGAATCATAATATACACATTGTTTTGAAACTTGCTTTTTGCACTTAACATATCATGAAACTTTTTTTTTTTGAGGCGGATTTTCACTCTATTGTTTAGGCTGGAGTGCAGTGGCATGATCTCAGCTCACTGCAACCTCCGCCTCCCGGGTTCAAGCAATTCTCTTGCCTCAGCCTCCCCAGTAGCTGGGACTACAGGCACACGCCACCACACCCAGCTAATTTTTGTATTTTTAGTAGAGATGGGGTTTCACCATGTTAACCAGGCTGGTCTCGAACTCCTGACCTCGTGATCTGCCTGCCTTGGCCTCCCAAAGTGCTGGGATTACAGGTGTGAGCCACCGTGCCCAGCCTTTGCAACATTTTCCAAGCAATAAATGTACAACGAGAACATCTTGCTTAGTATCTGCATAGCATCCTATTCTGTGAATGCACTATCACTTATTTCGCTCTTGCACCACCAGTGGACTTTTAAGTTTTTAAAATTTTCCATTTTATATGATACTATAATAATATAATCTTTATGAAAACCTTTGCACACTTGTCGTCCAGTTTTTCCTTAGAATTCATTCTTTAAAATTAGTTAATCATACTTTTAAGTCTAATTGCTAGGATGAAGGGCATATACATTTTAAAGGCACTTTAAATATGTTTTCTTCTAAGAAGAATTTACCAACTTCTAATTCACCAGTAGGGTATGAGATTTTCATCTTCTCCACACAATTCTAATATTGGTCAGTGCCTTTTTGTATTCATGCCAGTCTGCTCGACGGGGGCAAAAAGGATTCACTGTTTAAATCTGCATCACCTCAAATACTGTGAGCTGAGTAATTTTAATGTTTTCCCTTTTCTTATTTTTTGTTTCTTTGTGTTCTTCGCTTTTTGCTGGGAATACAAGAGAATATATTTCTTATTGATTAATAACAATATGAGCTTTAACTCTTGGTTATAAATAACTCTTTATTGCAGCTGTATCTTTCCAGTTTGTGTCTTTTGACTTCTCTATGGTGTTTCTTTTTCCCGATGAAAGTTTTGCATGTTTTTGTAGTCACATCCACCTGTCTTATTTGTGTGATTCCTGCCTTTGGTCAGAGGCTTATAAAGACCTTCTACAATACAAAATAATATGATTATTCAACCATATTTTCTTCTAACATGTTTGTGATTTTGCTTCTCTCCACATGTTAACCTTTTGTCTATCTGGGATGTATTTTAATTTGGAAACAATTGGTATTTCATGGATCTTCAGCAATGATTGAGAGTTTGAAAAGACTCTGAATGTTAACATGATGAAGAATGGAGATATTTTTCTTTTTTTAAATTATACTTTAAGTTTTAGGGTACATGTGCACAACGTGCAGGTTAGTTACATATGTATACATGTGCCTTGTTGGTGTGCTGCACCCATTAACTTGTCATTTAACATTAGGTATATCTCCTAATGCTATCCCTCCCCCCTCCCCCCACCCCACAACAGGCCCCGGTGTGTGATGTTCCCCTTCCTGTGTCCATGTGTTCTCATTGTTCAATTCCCACCTATGAGTGAGAACATGCGGTGTTTGGTTTTTCGTCCTTGCAACAGTTTGCTGAGAATGATGGTTTCCAGCTTCATCCATGTCCCTAGAAAGGACAGGAAATCATCATTTTTTATGGCTGCGTAGTATTCCATGGTGTATATGTGCCACATTTTCTTAATCCAGTCTATCATTGTTGGACATTTGGCTTGGTTCCAAGTCTTTGCTATTGTGAATAGTGCTGCAATAAACATACGTGTGCATGTGTCTTTATAGCAGCATGATTTATAATCCTTTGGGTATATACCCAGTAATGGGATGGCTGGGTCAAATGGTATTTCTAGTTCTAGATCCCTGAGGAATCGCCACACTGACTTCCACAATGGTTGAACTAGTTTACAGTCCCACCAACAGTGTAAAAGTGTTCCTATTTCTCCACATCCTCTCCAGCACCTGTTGTTTCCTGACTTTTTAATGATTGAGAATGGAGATATTTTTCAAAGGGTCAATTGGCAGAGCAAATAAATCTAGAGTAAATCATATTTTTATTATATCATTAAGGCAGATATTTAGATCTATTCATGGATACTTAATTATTTATATATACAGGGTTCATTTCAGAAAGGATTTAGTGGGGCGGAGTTTTCTCCCTCTGCTTCTGTCTTGATTCTTGGGTCTTTGGACTTCTTAGGTTCTACATGGATCCATCTCTCTTCCTGCACTTGTGTTTGTGGATCTTTCCTTCTCAGGATCATCAACTATTTCTACTCAGTTGTGTGGCTTTCATCAAATTACATAGTCTCTCTCAGCGTCGGTTTCCCCATCCACAGATAAAGGAGGCTGAACTAGATGGTGTCTGTGACTCCTTCCAGCTCTGAATTACTCTGGCTCACGGTTCACAGGCTCTCCCTCTGGGCCTGTGTCTTTTTTTCTGAATTTCAGTAAACACTCTCAAATTCTATTAAATCTCTTCCTTGCTTGCTTTTTCTTTCTTTGCACCGATGTCTGACTTTTTTTTTTCTCCCTCTTTTAACTGGGTGTAACATATGACTGTAGTCTAGTTTGTATTTGTTGTGTTCATTAAGTAAAGTTTTGCTCACTCCTGTAATCCCAGCACTTTGGGAGGCCAAGGCGGGCAGATCATCTGAGGTCAGGAGTTTGAGACCAGCCTGGCCAGCATGGTGAAATCCCTTCTCTACTGAAAATACAAAATTAGCCAGGCGTGGTGGCATGCACCTGTAATCCCAGCTGCTTGGGAGGCTGAGGCAGAAGAATGGCATGAACCTGGGAGGCAGAGGTTGCAGTGAGCCGAGATCATGCCATTGCACTCCAGCCTGGGCAAAAAAGAAAGAAACTCTGTCTCTAAATAAATAAATAAATAAAAAGTTTTGTCCTCCCTCTTCATAATTTATAAAGCAGGTGAGTGAAATGCCATTTCTCGCTCTATAAAGGAAAACTAAATAAATTAGGCTCTTTTCTTGCTTAGGTAGTCCCTGATTTATTTAAATGGGACAGTGAGCTAGAAGGTACTTTTCCTGATCTAGTCAATATGAAGAAAAATCTTCTGTCCTGAAAACGGTCATTATATATTATGTAAAAGACATTAATGCACTAGAATCAGTGAAAATTATTTGAGTTCCACTTCTGCGCTCTGTAGAAATCTTTCTTGGTGACAAACGTCATAAGTTTAAATTATAGGTCTTCAAGCAAAAACGCTACTTAACCTTTGTTAATTAGAAAATCAACACATTGTCATTGTAGAGAGCCCCCTGCCATGCAAGGGCTTCACGCACATTAGTCAGACCTGTGATAATTATCCAAGGTGAGATGTGGGTTTAATTTGTAAATCATTTTTTCTTGTGAAATGCTTTGCAAGTATTGCAATTAAAGATTAATTATGAAAATGCTGGAACTACCCATAATGAATAATACAACTGTAAAATGCACAGAAGACTGGGACAAAATAATCGGCTATTAAATTAAACAAAAAGGGCAAAAACAATGATCAAGAGGAATTATAAAAAAAAAAACACTGTCCTCAAATTCAGAACTTAATAAAGAGCTAAGTTGGGTTCCTGAGTACTTTTGCCCAAAGAGACTGGCCACTAATTCACCATAGAAGGAATCACACTAAAGCCCACACACATAAAATCTAATTTATTCATTCAAAAAATATTTATTTCACGCCTACTATGAGCCAGGCCTTGTTTTAGATGTTTTGTTTGTCTGCTTCATAGTATTGAAGCAAAACACACAAAAGTCTCTGTTCTTGTAGAGCTTATATTCTTGCAGGCAGAAAGAGAAATTTAACAACAAACTCAATAAGAAAATAAAATATACTGTGTGTTAGAAGGTGGTAGCCACTATGGAGAAAAAAGTCAAGCAGGGTTAGCTGGGATCCAGAGTTGGAGTGGGGTGGGGGAGGCTGCAATTTCAAGTAGGGTGGTTAGGATAGGCCCCACTGAGGAAGTGACAGAAAGGGGATCATGAGCTCGTCCATGGAGAGAGGGCTTCAGGAAAAAGGTAAGGGGGTACCATCCTGCAAGTAGGGGAGGCCTGTTGGAAGGGAAGGAGGCATGAGATGAGAGCGGTTGCAGGATGCTCAGAAGAGCAAAGCTGTTGCATGATCAGTTCATGAGTGAAAGGCGTCAGGAAAGCCATTTGTAAAATGATGATGAGGACGTGCTTCTTGCCTGCAGGTTAATCCCAAGGTGATCACAAATAGCTGCACGATGATGCCAGGCACAATTTGATGTATGGGAGGCAGCAAGCAGGGATGAAGAAAGCATGAACTGTGGTCACAAAGATCTACTTCTATGTGTTGGCTTCGCCGCTCATGGCATGTGAGCTTCCCAGGTCCTATTTGGGCCTCAGTCTCCTTATGTGTGGCATTGGCATAACAATATGCACCGCGTAGGAGTGTGTTAATAACAGATAATGCACTTCTTTGCACTAATTCTAGTTACTGGTAGCTGTTACGATTATTGCTATTATTGAGTATAGGCACATTCTATAGAAGCACATAGTTGGAATAAATTAAATATGGCTGAGATGATGTGTATATAAATCTGATACTAGAGGTATCAGGAGTGCTATGGACTGAACTGTGTCCCCTCAAAATTTGTCTGTTGAATCCCTAACCTCCAATGTGACTGCATTTGAAGATGGGACCTTTAAAGAAGTACTTAACATTAAATGAGGCCATAAAGGTGAGACCTAATCCAATAGAACTGGTGTTCTTGTAAGAAGAGGGACAGACACTGGGGATGCTCTTGCACAGAGAAAAGATCAAGTGAAGACACGGCAAGAAGACAGCAGTCTGAAAACCAAGAAGAGAAGCCTCAGAAGAAAGCAACCCTACGGACACACTGATCTTGGACTTCCAGCTTTTAGAACTGTGAGAATGTTTATTGTTTAAGCCACCAGACTATGGTATTCTGTTAGGGCAGCCCAAGCAGACCAAGACAATGAGGAAGGGTTATCAGGCTCGGGCTGATCTAGACCTCCCTGAGAAAGTGACCTTGGGGTCCCTCTTCTCACTGCACTGTTTCCATGGAAAGTACAGAGTTAGAGCCAGGTATGGTGGCTCATGCCTGTAATCCCACCAGTTTGGGAGACCGAGGCAGGTGGATCACCTGAGGTCAGGAGTTTGAGACCAGCCTGGCCAACATGGTGAAACCCTGTCTGTACTAAAAAAAAAATAAAAAATAAAAAATAAAAAAATACAAAAATTAGCCAGATGTGGTGGCATCTGCCTGTAGTCCCAGCTACTCAGGAGGCTGAGGCAGGAGAATGACTTGAACCCAGGAGGTGGAGCTTGCAATGAGCCAAGACTGTGCCCCTGCACTCCAGCCTGGGTGACAGAGTGAAACTCCGTCTCAAAAAAAAAAAAAAAAAAAAAAAAAAAGAGAGAGAAAAGAAAGCACAGAGTTAGGATGGGTGTCGTTGCTATCTTATCATTCGTGGAGGGCTGTGTCTGGACTGGAGAGCTGTGAATTAGCATAGAGGTCTTGAGCCCGCCACTGGAATGGTGTGAGTGACTGGTGGGAAAAAGAGCTAGGACTCCTCTGTGTCTAGGTGACCCACCCTGACCTTGGCTCTCTGGCATGGCAGCCACAGCTGCCCTGGCTAGGTCAGGGGGCAAAAGCAGCTATGTGTTTGGGCAGGCTGGGCCTTCCCAAGTTGCAATTCTGTACCTGCTATTTCTCCTGTTCTATATGCTACCATTGTTTCTTAGGTCTGAAGCATCAACTTGAACCCGTTAAAAAAAAACCTGTGGTGGGCTGGGTGTGGTGGCTTATGCCTACAATCCCAGCACTTTGGGAGGCCGAGGCAGGCAGACAGATCACTGAGGTCAGGAGTTCGAGACCAGCCTGGCCAACATGGTGAAACCCCATTTCTACTAAAAATACAAAAATTAGCCAGGTGTGGTGGTGCCCACCTGTAATCCCAGCTTGTTGGGAGGCTGTGGCAGGAGAATCACTTGAACCTGGGAGGCAGAGGCTACAGTGAGCCGAGATTGTGCCACGGCACTCCAGCCTGGGCAACAGAACAAGACTGTGTCTCAAAAAAACAAAACAAAACAAAACAAAATACCTGTGGTGTCAGTGCAGGTGTGTAAAATATAAACCCAGTTATCTGGTTGAACTGAGAACAGCAGAATGGCCAAGAGTCTTCAGTGGTGTAGAGAGTTAAAGGAAATTGCTCCATATTCTTTAGTGCAGAGCTGCATGATTGACAAGTATTGATCAGTAGTTTCTCTGTCAGCTAGATATTGGAGGGCAAGTATGAAAAAAGCTTTCACATACTGAGAGAACTGGGGTTTGGAAAATTGCTTTTTCAGATGACACTCATGAGTGCTCATTCATAACTCCATCAATAGGATGGATTTTTTTCAGTTCATTATTATTGCATGGATTTTCTTGTGTCCTCAGAGTAAAGGACATGCAGAACATGTGAATCCAAACTATTAAACTAGAAGAAAGCTTCAAAATAGAGACTGAAGGGACACTGGGTTTCCATAGTATAAAGCACTCCTATGTGTCCAAATGTGAAATGTTATGCAATGGGGGTGGAGCTAAGTGGTCTGATTCATTGTAGAGGCTATGGTGGCAGGATAAGCATGGTAAACTATTGGTTATTTCAAAAGCTAATATTAATTAAATACTAGAAGTATCAGGCACTATTCCAGAACTTTACTCTCAGAGCTAGATATTATTATCTCCATTTTACAGACGAGTGAACTGAGAATAAGAGAGTTAATTCATTTGCTGTCATATAGCCAGTAAGTAGCCAGAACTCACACCCAGGCTGGATAGCTTTTAAGCCTGCACTCTTACTATGCTCTGGCCACCGTTTGATTTTTGGGCTTACATCATATAAGGCACTTTCTTCTCCTACGTCTGATATGCTTCTAGACATTGTTGTACTTAGGTATACAAAATGCTGATAGAGTGATTAATACCTGAGGCAAGACATTTACCACCTGCCAGAACATTGTCTTATATTTATTTATTTTTTTTGGCACAGTTTTGCTCTTTGGCTCAGGCCGAGTGCAGTGACGCAATCATGGTTCACTGCAGCCTTGACCTCCTGAGCTCAAGCAATCCTCCTGTCTCAGCCTCCTGAGTAGCTGGGGTTACAGGCACATGTCACCATGCCTGGTTAATTAAAAAAATTTTTTTTTGTAGAGACAAGGTCTTGCTATGTTGCTCAGGCTGATCTTGAACTACTGGATGGAAGGGCTCCTCCTGCCTTGGCCTCCAAAAGTGTTAGGATCACAGGTGTGAGCCCCTGCACCTGGGCAGACCATTGTCTCTAAAGCTACAAGGATGGCTGAAGCTGAAAGGGGAAATGCAATACTCACAGAGCCAGGAATGTCAATGTCCAAATTAATCTCTAAGCCAACAAAGAGAAGACACTTTTTTGATGCTGTCATTAAGATCATATTTATTTCTTAGTGCAAAAGCTCAGTACTACAGTTTTGAAACCAAGGCAGTTATGGGCTTTGGCCACTGCTAAAATGGTGGATGATGGATACTTTCCCTAAGCTCAGTCTGACAGCACTGATTTCAGAAGCCATTGCTTTACTGTGGGACCTACAGTTCCAAGTTGCATCTGAAAGTGGGGATATTTTCTAGTTGGATCCAAATTTCAAAATTATTAACAGCTATTTTAGTAAACTTTAATAAACCCAGATGTCAAATATATCAGCCTAGAACTCTTGTCTAAATACATTTTTGCAAATATCTTTAGGTTATTGTTCATATTAAGTGTCCTGCTGGTGAGTTTTGTCATCTTTGAAGTAAAATAAGCATCCTCTTTCTGCTGATCTTCATGTATCTCCCCCTCCCCCTCTCCTGCTTCCATCTGTCTTTTAAAGTCTCTATTTAAACATTTGTATCTAGTCTTTTTTTAAATCCGGAGTCAAGAATCCCTGGTGTTATTATCCAAGCTGGCACCCTGTTCTCTTCACTCTCAGACTTCACATACAAGCCTTTGCGGATGCTAGTCCCAGGTCAAGCCTGGGATGGATCCGTGAGGGATTAGTGTAGCTCTGATGACCAAGCCTCATGGGTATGTCAGCCATCCAAGCAAAGGGGTGGAGGAAAAAGAAGAGAAGCTTGGGGATTGAGGAAAAGGGAAAAGGGAGGCGAGTTGGCAGAGAGGCTGAGAAAACAGAAGACTGGAGTGTTTTGATGTCAAGATTTCAAGGAGGGCACAGTGACAATTGTTAAATAAGAGCAAGAAGTCAAGGAAAATCAGACAACAGTAACAGGCTATTGGATTTGGTTATTTTTGAGACAGACACTTCAATATAGCAATAAGATGCTTATTAGTGGAGGAACGGGTAGTGAGAGGCTAGATTTAGTGGTATAGATACACCACTGGTTTAAGAATCAATGACAGTGGAAGATGGCTGTCCCCTGTCTAGGTGGGAGTGAGGTACTCTGAAGTTGTGTGTGTGTATGGGAGGTGGGTGAGGGACATGGACTGGAAACAAGAAAGGGTTGAGAGGGATGACAATGCCAGAGGTTTGTCCTGAGGCAGGAGTTTTTCTTTGCCCCCTCAACTTTCCAGGAGGAGCTCAATGCAGGCCCTGAACTTTTGTTTTTCATTGTAGGAAGACAATAACAAAGGTGGCATTTGGAAATCTCAAGGGAATATGCTTGAACTCAGAAGGCGAAATGACAGGACCTCTGAGGACAGCAAGCACTGCGAAATAAGGGCAAGAAGCAGCGCTGAAGACACAGAACCAATGACAGCAGAAAACTGTAGGATTTGCATAAAAGACACCTGCGTTATGGTGCCGACATGAAGCGGCAGCAAAATTAGCAGAATCCCACCTTCCTGATATTGGAGACACAGGACAATGACAAACTATAAGAATAAGAATTAGTTGGAGATATTGAAGTGAAAAATCTATAACTGTCAAAATAAAGATATCCTTGGAGGGGCTGAATGGCAGAACGGATAAAGCTGATGAACATTTTCGTGGGTTGGGATATTGGGTCAAGAAACCTTCCATGAAGACAATAGGAATGAATAAAGAGATTAGAAGAATAAAACAAAAGTCAAGAATTACGGAGGGTAGAAGTGTCAACATCTGCACAATAGTAGCTTCATAAGAAAAGAATAAACACAGGCAAGAAACTATCTGAAGAAATATCTGGTATTTCCAGAACAAACAATATTAGAGTTCAAATGGAAGGCACTCATGAAGTGTTTAAACAGGGTAGGTAAGAAAAACAACAACAACCACCACCAAAACCAAAAAACAACACCTTCATCAATAGCTGTGGATCTGAACCAGAGACCCCCAGCCCCAGGGATCCTTCCGATCCATGTACAGGAGTCACAAGTCTTGAGAACATAGATGGAAAAAATATTGCATCTTTATTTTCACTGCCAAGTCAAAATTATAGGAGTAATTGGTCCAAATGGATTTTTAAAAGGTTCAGCAATATGAAATCTAAGAGGAACATTTAAACAAAAGGATACAAACACCTGTACAAAAAATACCAGGTTATAACAGGAATATTAGCAACAACAAGAAGGCTAGCATAGTAGTTTGTTCATTTATTATCTTTTTTCTTTTTTTTTTTTTTAGAGTTAGGGTCTCGCTCTGTCCCCAGGCTGTAGTACAGTAGTGTGATCACGGCTCACTGCAGCTATGACCTCCTGGGTTCAAGCCATCCTTCTGCCTCAGCTCCAGGGTAGCTGAGACTATAGGCGCACATCATTATGCCTGGCTAGTGTAGTCATTTTCTCTTTCTTTTGAGACAGGGTCTTACTCTGTTACCCAGGCTGGAATGCAGTGACACAATTACGGCTCACTGCAGCCTAGACCTCCTGGGCTCAGGCGATCCTCTCACCTCAGCTTCCCAAGTAGCTGATATTACAGGTGTGTGCCACCACATCCAGCCAATTTTTGTATTTTTTGGTAGAGATGGGGTTTCACCATGTTGCCCGGGCTGGTCCTGAACTCCTGGGCACAAGAGATTTGCCTACCTCAGCCTTCCAAAGTGCTGGGATTACAGGCGTGAGCCACCGCGCCCAGCAGTGTGGTAGTTTTAAGAGCAGAGACAAAACTGTGAGATTTAAAAAAAAATGTCATAAGGAACAAAGATGGAAATTATATACTGGTACAAGGAACAATAAATCAAGAAGATCATGAACACATCTAACTAGCAAAATAGACTTCAATTACCCGAAGCTACCACTGATAGAACTATTGATAGAAATTCAGTAAATAAAGTTTAAAATTTATACTCAGAAACTGATAGGTCAAGCAGTGCTTAGTGAAATTAGGTACACACATACTCTATGACTCAGTAATTCTGGGGACACACAGAGGCACACACACACACAAGACGTCCTCACACAGGTGGCAGAGAATGCACATAAATATATTCCCTGGAGGGTTATTCGTGGTGGCAGAGTTGCAGAAAACCTAGGTATTCATCATTAGGGGATAGAATAAATGATGCGTGGTAAATACACATAATGGAGCACTATGCACATAGTATTCAGAGAACTACTCAAATAGATCTTAACAATGTAAGGCAGAGGGAAGAGAGTAAGAAACAGAATGGGATCTGTAGTACAATGCCACCCATATAAAGCATGGCACACAAGAGACAACACGAATTTCCACAATGATATGTATACTTTGAACAAATATATAGAGGGTGGGACTAGAAGACCATCCATAAAATACGTTTCAGTGGGTGTCGGCGATGGCGAGAGGGTGAAGCTGGCAATGGTGAAGAAAAAACGTAATAAAATGAAATTAAAATGAAAGAGGAACATTGTCAGGATGTGACAATAGGACCATGAAAGGAAGAGAGACCCACGCAATATCCTGCACATCAGGGGGCCTTGAAAACACGAAGGAGCAGAAACCAAACTGTGAGATAAAAACATGAGAGGGAAGCGTCTGATGGGAAACGACCCTGTTTATCTGAATGCGGAATACTAAAAGTGGGCCTCTTTTTTCTCACGCTCATAGTGTACTGTGGGAGGAACTATGGGGCTGCGAGGATCTATCCCTTCTTCAATATTTGTGTCATTGATACTAATTTATTTTATTACAATCTTTTTCTGTGGGACAGTTGCCATTTATTATCATGAAGTTTAGTTCAGTCCTTATCGGAAAGATAAAAAATCTGTATAAGAAATTATTTATTTGTTGAAAAACATTTTTCCATATTGATTGCAAAAGTGGTACCGTTACATTAAAATGTCTTCTCTGCATCAGACCATTCCAATTGCCATGAGGATGTTGGAAGAAAGACCAGAGTTCCTGAAGCATTTGGTCTTGTGACACATGAGAAGGTGAACCTTTAGTTTCTTAGGTTCAGAATGTTCACCGTAAAGTTTCTACCCATATAATATAGTTAACAGATTATCTTTTAGTTAGTTGGGAGCTCAAAAGACATTAAAAGTACACTGTTGATTTGATTATTTGGGAGCACATTTTAAAAAAAGCAAAAATTGTCCAGGCTTGGTGGCTCATGCCTCTAATCCTAGCACCTTGGGAAGCTGAGGCCAGCGGATCATGAGCTCGAGAGATCGAGGCCATCCTGGCCAACATGGTGAAATCCTATCTCTACTAAAAATACAAAAATTAGCTGGGTGTGGTGACGTGTGCCTGTAGTCCCAGCTACCTGGGAGGCCAAGGCAGGAGAATTGCTTGAACCCGGGAGGCGGAGGTTGCAGTGAGCCGAGATTGTGCCACTGCACTTCAGCCTGGTAACAGAGGGAGACTCTGTCTCAAAAAAAAAAAAAAAAAAAGCGCAAACATTGTACCTATCATCACTCACTTCCTATGGTAATGCTCTGACTGAAAGGTAGCTGGAATTGCAAAAGTCAATTAGTTTTGATCCCTAAAGGGCAAAGGGCAGAAAACATACATGGCAACTGTAAGTGGGAAGGGGCTATCCTTTGCCCTTTGTGGGGGTCGTAGGTGGAGATGGTTCTATTGAGAAGATAGCAGCCGACTGAGCGTGGTGGCCCAGCAGGTTCAGAAAAGAATAGAGGGCTGGTAACCCTTGTAGTGAACAACTGTGAAGGAGAAGGCATTTCTTGGAGGAGCTTCTATATTTTATTTGCATTTTTGCTTTGCATATGGTCGATTGATTTCAATGTAGTAATTTTTTTTGCTAGATTTTGTCCAGCAAATTAATTTACTCTTTAATGTATGGCAATGGTTTCTAATTACGACATCACTCCCTATTTCTATCCCAGAGAGAACCAAGAACTAGTTACAAAGGTTGGGGTAGAAACTCTGCATTAGGATTGCAGCCAGCATCACAGCTACCGCCAAACAGGCAAGACCCCAATTTGATATCAGGAAGACTGAAAACTATGCTCAGGCTCTAGACTGATTTGAAATGCTGTCTTCCATAATATGCTGACTTTCTCTGTGACTTTTTTTTTTTTTTTGCTGCTTCTGCTTCTGTCATGCTTGATTTCAGTCTGTGGTTCCCAGTAAAAAGATATTTCCCAAGATGGTAAATATCATCACATTTTGAGAAAAGAATTCTGGAGAAAGTTTATAAGGAAAAACCCTTCTTGCTTTGGAAAGGAGATGATCTAATTTTGAATATGGATATTAACCCAGAAAAATCACAATCACTTATTTATTCATCCAGATGTTTGCTCAGCAAATATTTATTGGGTAACCATTGACCAGTTGTTATTGGACCCTATCCTCCGTCTATGCTGTATGTAGCTTACGTTCTAGGGGGAGGACACATAAATAAACGTATTCATTTATTTCTGAATAATAATAATTTTCTGGGGTTTCAACACCCTCTAGAGGTTTCCCATTGGTTACTTGGTATATGCCCTATGTAAATGAAGAAGACGAAGTCAAGTGACAAAGTCATTTACTCAGTATGCACCCTATGTAAATGGCAAGGATGTTACTCAGTGTGTGGCATAAGTAAATGGAGAGGATGAAGTGAAGCTACACAGCCGTTCACCTTCCTGTCATTGCTGAAGCGTTCCCATTTGATTTAGTTCCAAGAAGTCAGCATGAATCTGCCTATCTTCCCTGCCTCCAGACCCTATTCTCCTGCCTCAGCTGCATTTGAGGGACAGTCTGGAGGTAGACTCACAGGGCTTACTATTGGATAGGAAGTGATGAGGGAAAGAGAAGAAAGAAAGGGAAGAAGGAAATCAAGGGTAACTCCAAATTTAGGGTGGATGGGTGGATTAGATGGTGATGCCACCTACTGAGATGGGGAGGGCTTTTGGAGGAACAAATTTCCAGGAGGCATCAAGAGTTGTTTCCCATCATGTTTATTCTAAGATGCCCATTTAATATCTAAGTTGAAACACAAAGTAGAAAGTAGGATAAGTGGATCTAGAGTTCCTGAGAGAAGAGAGGCCTGGAGATTTAAATTTGAGAGACATTGGCACAAATTATTATCAGAAGCCATTGGATGGTGGGCTGAATGAGATCATCCAAGACAATATTCGGATGAGAAGACAGGAAGGCTCTGTGACACTGCAATGCTTAGTGGTCAAGCGGAGGAAGGAGGGAATGCAGGAGAGACTAAGTGATGGCCAGCTTGGTAGGAAAAATAAGCAGGACAGCACACGGCTGTGGAATCTGTGGGAAGAAAGTATTTCAGGAAAGAGCGCAGGAGACATGCTGCTGAGAGAGTCTGCAAAGCCCCGAAGAATGTGTCTGAGACTTAGAGATCCATGCTGACTTTGACGACTTTATAAAAGCTTTACCAAAGGAACTCAAAACAAAACAAAACAAAAACAAAACATTATTTCCATGTCATAGAGACTGTCAAGTAAGAAGTCTCATTCCCTGAGAAGAGTGCTTTTGCATTAACTTCTCGTTAAACCAAACCCTTTGCGTTTGACAGTGGCCCTCTGCAGGCCTAGATCTTTGCCATGGCGACTTTATAATCTGCATAATACCAGCCAGGGCTGCCTGATGTCCAGCCTCACCACTGCCTGTCAACTTCAGTCTCTCCCATAGACTCCATAACTGGGAGAGTGCTCCACAAGGGGCCGGTATTGCACGTGGGGCCTGCAAATCTTCCTTGGGATGGATTCTCCTGCACGTTGTGGGAAGCTGTGGGAGCACCCAGTGTCACCGCACCTTTCCACATACCCTCTGGGCCACAGGGTCATCTCAGTCAGGGGACGCTGGTATAGACTGACCAAGAGGGCCTGAACTTTGCCTTCAGCTTGACTAAACTTTACATAGGACCCCTCCATTCCACCCTAGACCCCTGACCTCACTTTTTAAGAGCACTTACTTTAGAAAATTTGTTATTGTTAATTCTTTCTCTGCCCTTTTGAGATATAAATTTTTTAAAAAGCTGTTTGCCAGTTTTACAACCCAGGAATGGCTTTTTCAAAAACTTGGGAGTCATCTCTTTGAAATGGTAATTGTCAAGGAAAATAGCACCCTGTCTCCCCTCCACGGGAGGGTGGGAGCCTAACTCCAAGTTGTGAAAGTTTACTTTTCCTTTGGGTAGAGCCAATCAGCAAACACAGACACCCTATGATCCCTCCTATCCCAGCTTGTAAAAACTTTCCCATTGTATTTTAGTGAAATAAAAAAAACCAAAAAATCAAAATAAAGAAACAAAATTCTCCTGCCCTTAGCTGAAGTGGAGGCGAGCTCGACTGCATTCTGGCTTCTCTACCCTGTCGCAACAGCCCTGAATGAAGATCTTCCTTGCCTGTTCAACTTTGCCCAGTGCAATTTTTGCTTTGACAAGAGGAATGATTAAAGCGCTGAGTCTTTGGAGTCAGACTGTCTGGAACCAAATCCCATCTCTGTCTCTTCCTAAATGCACGACCTTCGGTAAGTCAACTAATCTTTAATGTGAGAATAAAACAAGAATTAGCAATGTTATCTATGTTATAGACTCGTGTGGACTCATTGAGGGGAAGCATGGGAAGCACTTGGCCCTGGGGTTCACCGGGGTGTCTCAGTCAGCATTCACGTGGTTGCTTTTGAGGCAGGTTTGCAGGAAACAGGGGCAGGCACACATTCTCTAGGTTATAATTCCTGCAATTTGAGATGTACATTTTTTTTTTTTTTGAGATGTGGTCTCACTCTGTCACCCAGGCTGGAGTGTAGTGGCACAATCTTGGCTCACTGTGACCTCTGCCCACTGGGTTCAAGCTATTCTCCTGCCTCAGCTTCCCAAGTAGCTGGGATTACAGGCACCCACCAGCATGCCTGAGTAATTTTTGTATCTTTAGTAAAGACAGAAATTCACCATGTTGGTCAGACTGGTCTCGAACTCCTGACCTCAGATGATCTGCCCGCCTTAGCATTCCAAAGTGCTGAAATTACAGGCGTGAGCCACCATGCCCGGCCTGAGTTGTACATCTTTTATTATCAATTTCTTAGATATGAGAAACAGCCATTTTATTCATACATAGATTTGGGTGAATTTCATTATTAGAATTCTATTTTTCTCCTTCACACACAAATGCGATTTTCTCTTTGGTCTCTCAATGATACTGCATTTCAGATGGCACTGGAATGATCCATTTGCAATTTTGGAATACAGAGAGTATGAGAAGCAGCTGACCAAACAAGCTGTATTTTAGAATTTGGGGAGGTTGGACTCAGAGAATGGTTATAACATTTCAGTCTGTAGTTGCTTATACGTCCATTTAATAAACCTCAACTCTTCCATAAACTCAGGTTGCCACCCAGGAGAAAAAAGTCTCCTGATAGACAAACTGTCAGAGGAAGAAGAGGCTGCGGGCTTCCCCACTCTCAGGTAGTCTCTGAGTCCTCCTGAAGACAGCGTGCCTTCCACTGAGTCTCAGTCAGGCTTTCTGCCCAACGCAAAAGAGCTTGAAGCACTGAGGGTGATTTTTCAACTCCTTTTTGGACTGCACAAAAGAGATGGTTCCCTTTAACCTCTAGAGAGATATCAGAAGAGGCCAGAGCCAAGTAAATTGAGCACGGACATTTGTCATGAGTTAAGATGACCTAGCCTCTGTCAAGGAGCCACTTAGGAGCTTGACTTCTTCCTGAAGCTGTCTGAAATGGCCTCCAGATCTTGTAACTCTGATCTCCTCCCTTAATGACTGCCAAGAGCAGTTGCATGCTCTGGCTAGTGTCTAGCTTGCTGCATGCTAACCCTGTCCTAGCTCCCTGACCTGAACAGCCTGCTTGGCTCCCCGCAGTGGTGTTTGCTTGCCAGCTCCTGGCCATGCCCTGGGCTGGCAGCCAGCCTCCCAGGCTGGGGGCCCAGCAGATATCTTGCCTTCTCCCACTCCTGCCGCTGCTATCAGCTGTCAGGGCTCCAAACTCCTTGTATGTCTCTGCCAAAGCTGGCTTTGCTCAATCCAGCCTGGCATTGTTCATGCTTAGACAATGACCATGAGCTTGTTTGCTTTCTCCACCGCCTAAGAAAAATCTGGCCCACGGACAGCCCAGGTCCGAACACCTGGGCTGGCTGAGGCTTCAGATCAACATGTGGCTTAAGTGCTTCTGCTGGGCCATCCAGGGAGCTCGTCATATGCTGGACACTCATTTTGGATCAAAAAATGGGAAAAGTTTCCTGCACTTTTCAGACAAATACCAGCAAGTGCTTTTTTTCTTTCTGTGTCTCTTAGTTTTTAAATGTATTTGTTACTTTTTGATTAAACCAGAATAATCTCTGGATTCTTACAACTTCCAAAAGACCTGTGTTAACCCTTTTGGGATGACAGCTTCTAATTATATTTTAGATGTGCAGTGAGGTGAACTGTGTCTTCTCTGTTTTTTTTTTTTTCGGTTACTTTGCAAAAGGACATGTGAGCCTGGCCTCGCTAATGACACCACCTTTGCAAAGATCACACAGCAAGAAAAGTCTAGCATGGCTGACTCCGTCCTGCTTCTAGCCTCACAGCCTGGCTGTCCCTGCTCCTTCCTGGGCATAGGTCAGGCTAAACTAACCATGGGAGGTATTTGGTTTAGAGTTTAGCTTTTTTTTTTTTTTTTTTTTTTTTTTTGAGACGGAGTCTTGCTCAGTCACCCAGGCTGGAGTGCAGTGGCGCGATCTCGGCTCACTGCAAGCTCCGCCTCCCGGGTTCATGCCATTCTTCTGCCTCAGCCTCCCGAGTAGCTGGGACTACAGGCGCCTGCCACTACACCTGGCTAATTTTTTTGTATTTTTAGTAGAGACGGGGTTTCACCGTGCTAGCCAGGATGGTCTCGATCTCCTGACTTCGTGATCCCCCCATCTCGGCCTCCCAAAGTGCTGGGATTACAGGCGTGAGCCGCCGTGCCCAGCTAGAGTTTAGCTTTAAAGCAAGGATGATAATTGTCCCTCCTTAAAACTGGTTCCCTCCTGGCTGGAAGATTGAAACTGCCTTTGTAAAACCAATGAAAGGCCATGAGATTAGAATTATGGGAGAGGCCTGAACTCTGTTAAAATGTAGGTGTAGTTTCTAGAATCCCTTAATGCTCAGGAGTCATGTGGCCGGAGGTCACAAGATTTGTGGCTTCCTCAGTTGCTTTTATAGATAACATCACTATTGTAGAACTTAAGATTGGTCTTTTGAGATTTTTTTTTCAGATTTTTGCATTCTGGAAACCACCTGCCTCCATCCAGACTTGGGACGCAGAACTCAACCAGTTCTGTGGCTGTCACCCTGAGGCAGACTCAGCACATGAGGACAATTTTCCACACCCCTATGATTCCATCTCCAACCAATCAGCAACACCCATTCCCTAGCCCCCTGCCCACCAAATTGTCCTTAAAAACCCTAGCCTCTGAGTCCTCAGAGAGGCTGATTTGAGTAATAACTCCAGTCCTTCTGCTTGGCTGTCCTTGTGTTAATTAAACGCTTTATTTACTGCAATAACATTGTCTCAGTGAATTTGGTTTACCTGTGTAGCGGGCAAGAAAAACCCTTCAGGCAATTACATTAACACAGGTTAGTGGGTGGAAGGTGGCCTTCTGTAGAGCTCTGTGTGCAAAGCCAAGAACTATTTGCAGTCTGTTTCAGCTTTAATTTGTATGAAAGCCCTTCCTTCCGGAACCTAGGTGGAGCTCTTGGGCCATTCTGTCACATATCTTAGCTGTTGCAGGGATGCTGGTGTGATGTTTTCAGATGAACTTCTGATTTCTTGGCTGACTGTGAAAAAATCCTTGGGCCTTAGTTTGCTGCTCTGTGGCCTCTGCAGGTAAGCTGAGGACTAGCAGAATAATTCTGAATATTGAGGGACATCTCTGCATGTGAGCTTTCCTGTAGGGTTGGTGAGTGGAAGTGATCACATTTCAAGTCAATATTTCAAGAAAGAAGTAATGAGCCCATTGAAAGAGGCTTCTTTAAGAGAAGGGTAACTATTACATGGAGGAAGAAGAAAATAAAGGGAATAAAAGGTAAAGGATAGTAAAGGAAAAAGAAACTCACATTTAATGAGAATGGACCTGCTGGGCATAGTGGCTCATGCCTGTAATCCCAGCACTTTGAGAGGCTGAGGCGGGCAGATCACTTGAGGTCAGGGGTCTGAGACCAGCCTGGCCAACATGGTGAAACCCTTTCTGTACAAAATTAGCCAGTCACGGTGGCACATGCCTGTAATCCCAGCTACACAGGAGGCCGAGAGAGGAGAATCACTTGAACCTGGGAGGCAGAGGTTGCAGTGAGCTGAGATCACGCCACTTTACTCCAGCCTGGATGACAGAGAAAGACCCTGTCTCAAATACTACTACTACTACTATTATTAATAATAATGATAATAATTATGGGCCCTAGGCGAGGCACTCTCCTGAGTGCTTAGCATGGAATATCTCATTTAATACTGTGGTGTAGGAGCTGTATTCCTAATTAACACAGAAATATTAAGCAATTTGTCAGTGGTTTCTCAATTGGCAAGAGGCAGAGGTGGTAGTCAAAGACCATATTGTTAACCACACACCATTGTGAGAAGACTGACCACTTGGCAACCCTGGTATTGTTCAATCATTACCAAGCATGTAATAAAAAATGTCTAATATTGGAAGAGGCCAGGCATGGTGGCTCATGCCTGTAATTCCGGCCCTTTGGGAGGCTGAGGTGGAAGGATCACTTGATCCCAGGAGTTTGAGATCAGCCTGGGCAACATAGGGAGACCTCATGCCAGGCATGGTGGCATGAGCCTATAGTCCCAGCGACTTGGGGACTGAGGTGGGAGGATCCCTTGAGCCTGGGAGGTTGAGGCTGCAGTAAGCCACGATCATGCCACTGTACTCCAGCCTGGGCAACAGAACAAGACTCCATGTAAAACAAACAAACAAACAAACAAAACATAGAAATAGAAGATACTCAGAGAGGGAAGATGGTAATAGTTGGTCAAGAAAATGCTTTTATATTAGAGGTGAACTGAGACTAACACCTAAGTCCCTAAATTCTAACTGAATAGTTTGGAGATAAGTGGCTCCAGAAATTCATAGCTGTTGAACTAGGTGTTAGTTTTAGAGTCTTGTTTTTTTTTTCTGAGACAGAGTCTCACTCTATCTCCCACGCTGGAGTACAGTGGCGCGATCTCGGCTCACTGCAAGCTCTGCCTCCCGGGTTCACACCATTCTCCTGCCTCAGCCTCCTGAGTAGCTGGGACTACAGGCACCCACCACCATGCCTGGCTAATTTTTTGTATTTTTAGTAGAGATGGGGTTTCACCGTGTTAGCCAGGATGGTCAGGATCTCCTGACCTCGTGATCCGCCTGCCTCAGCCTCCCAAAGTGCTGGGATTACGGGCGTGAGCCACTGCGCCCAGCCCTAATTTTTGTATTTTTAAATAGAGACAGGGTTTCACTATGTTGGCCAGGATGGTCTTGAACTCCTGAACTCATGATCCGCCTGCCTCGGCCTCCCAAATTGCTGGGATTATAGGCGTGAGCCACCGTGGCCGTCCTTTTTTTTTTTTTTTTTTTTTTTTTTTTGTAACAACCCCTCTCACTTCACCTGAGGTAGACTTCTATTGCCGAACAATATTTCACAAATTGGCTAAAGTAGCTCATATCTGAGAGATGTGCCTTGTGCCTCCCTTTAAGGTGACAGGAATTAGAAACTGGGACTAGAGACTATTTTCTAGTCAAAAGAAATTGCTGACTCATCACGTCAGCCTCCTGTTCTGAAATTTCTGTTTCTGCGGTCATCAATGGTTTTACAATTGCTAAATTAAAACAACACAGGCCAGGAGTGGTGGCTCATGCCTGTAATCCCAGCATTTTGGGAGGCTGAGGTGGGTGGATCACCTGAGGTCAGGAGTTTGAGACCAGCCTGGCCAACATGGTGAAACCCCTTCTCTACTAAAAATACAAAAATTTGCTGGGCATACTGGCATGCACCTGTAGTCCCAGCTGCTCAGGAGGCTGAGGCAGGAGAATCACCTGAACCCAGGAGGTGGAGGTTGCAGTGAGTCGTGAGTTGAGAACACACCATTGCACTCCAGCCTGGCCACAGGATGAGACTCCATCTCAAAACACACACACACGCACATTTCTAGCCTTATTTTACTCATGGTGCTTGATATTATTTGCCATTACCTTTTTAATCAAATCCTCCTCCTCTTGTGACATTACTCTCTCCTAATTTTCCTTATTTCTATTCCTCTTCATTCTTCCTGAGATATTCTTTTTCTGTTTATCCCTTATATTCCATGGTTCTGTAGAATTCTGATCTCAGGCCCTTGCTCTTTTCTTAAGTTATTATTGGGTCACCTTCTTTAAGTGAATTGATGTTCCTTCCAAGACCATAATAAATACTCTTCCATCTCTTCATTTTACAACCTTACTAGGTCTTCAAAATTCTTACACACAGCCACAGTTAGCCAACAGAAAGGAACAAAACTAAAGTTGGACTTCTATATCCAGGGGCAGGGTCAAAAAAACGAGAAGTTGAGTCAAGTAGGGTCACCTGTTATGATGAAAACCAGATAGAATCTACCCAGCATGTTCAGAATTAACAGTATTTAGGAAGAAACTTGTCCTAGCTAATCTGGGCCACACATGTTGATGAAGTGAAATTTCTTCACTGTGCTCAGCAGGGATCAATGGACCTGATATTTAGCTAATTAAAAAATAATGTGTAATTTTGTGATCTATAACTTGAGGGAAGGATTTGGAAAGGGCTGATTTCCAGTTGTAATTAGGAAATACTTTATTTCTAAATCTATAACTCTTTTATAGCCCCAGCTGATGTGGTTGTTAAAAGTCAGTCTCACTTTCAAAGCTCATTGACCCACACCTTTGTTTTGTAGTTGGCCGACATCACACAAAATGAATGGAGATCTAATTTTACCTTTCCTTTAATGACATTCTACCGCTCTTCAAGCTTCCCAACACAACTATGAAAGACACTGTGGGGACTCTGCCCCTTGTTAAAATTAACTGGCTCTCAGTGAGGCTGTAACGTAGGGTGGAGCCCAAGTGGCAGGTGTTATGAATATGAACAGCAACCAAGTCACATTCTTATCTTGCTTTGTCTGAGACTTCCACAGTTGACTGCACTGATCAATTGACCCCCTAGAGAGGGGTCTAAGATGATGCATCCACAAAGTCCTTCAAACTCACTTCTTTATTTCATTCAACAGAGGAAAAGTTGCTAATTTCCTAACATATGAATATTCTCAAAAACAAAATTTAAAATTCAACTAGCCATGGGAAGCAGGTATGAATTTGAAGTAATTTTAGGTTCATCTGAAATATGTCAGTAGCAGAAAGACAGGTGAAAAAGATTAGACTGGGTGTCTGGATCCACTTCTTGCATAGGTAGTTTAACTTTTTGATCTGTTTAAATTTCTTTTTTGTACTGATCTTTTTTCCTATGTCAGGAAAAGTCTAAATCTTTCTCTGCCTAGAACCTTGAGAATAGGCAAGAAAGGAATGGCTTTATATTTATCATTTCAAAAAAATCTGAACTTAGCCCATTTCCTCCCTCCCTCCCTCCCTCTCTCCCTTCCTTCCTTCCTTCCTTCCTTTCCTTCCACACAGTTACAAGTGCCCCAAATGATCAAATAACTTTATACACTTCTAAAACCATAAACCTAAAATTGCAGATATTAGAGAGACCTGAGAGATGTCTCAGCCTGCACTCTGATTTTATAGCTGAGGACAGTGAGCTCCCAAGAGTGGAAGTGGAACGAGATCTAGGTCTCCTGAAACTTCTTCCTTATTCCATTCTGTCTTGAAGGAGACTACAAGAGGCCAACACCTTTACTTTTGGAAGGATCTCTATATCAAACCTTGCATAGGCTGATTTTTTTTTTTTTTTGTATTGTGCAGGCTCTTAAAAATCAACAGAGGGAAGCCATGGTTACCTTTCCATTACTTACCCACAAATAACTGGCTGTAGAGCTCCAGGCGGGTGTGGCCTTCTGTTGGGGCCTTGCGGATCTGCTGCGGTAGCCGGTCCACCTGTAGGCTGGCCTGCTTGACATTCCTCTCTGCAGTGACCCGGTGCCACTGGTCATCGTTGAGAGGGGTTGGTGACCTCACTACAATCTCTACTGGCCCATTTCCCACATCAAATGAAAAGGACACTTCTGTGGCAGCTGGAGGAGCAGAAAGCATGAAAAACATGAGTATTTTTCTCCCAGATACCAAATAGCAGTAAATTCTAGACGACAAACAAAGCAGGGAGAGGAAAAATCATCTAAGCCTGTCACGTCCTACAAAGGTCGATGGCAAAATCAATGGAAGAAGGATAAAATGTCAATCATTAACCATTAATAACCAAGGGTGTTTTGGGGGGTCTATGTGTCAGGTATATATTTATTTCCTTATTTAATTTTAGAAGCCTTCCAAGATGTGACCATCATTGACCCTCTCCAGATAAGGAGACTGAAGTCTGGAGAAGTTAGCGCATGTTGAGTGTCTTAGATTCAGTAAGTTAGTGGAGTCACGAACTGAACCAAGGTTTGTCAGATTTCAGAGCCTGATATCTTCTAATTCCACATACAATTTACCTTTTCAGTAAGTAGCTCCTTGGGAAGTGATTCATAGTCACCTGGAGATCTCTTGAAACACCTGTGTCCAGAGATTTGGACTCAGTTGGTCAAGAGTTGGCACTGGTATTTTAAAAAAACTCCCCAGGAAATGTTAACACATAGCTAGAGTTGAGAGCTACTGCTTTGGGGGAATTTATGAAACTTGATTTCATTGATCTTTATACTCTTTTGAAAGTTGGGGACCCTTGAATTGTTGGTGTAATGAGGGTAACCTATTGTTGGTGTAATGACGGTGACCTATTGTTGGTGTAATGAGGGTAACCTATTGTTGGTGTAATGAGGGTGACCTATTGTTGGTGTAATGAGGGTGACCTACATTTTATGACCACCTGTGCCTACCTGAAAGGTAGCACAACATTTCTGGAGAATAATCCCTGTCGTACATCGTCTGTTGCAAACCTTGGTTATTCCCCATCTGGGTTGTAGGCTCCTTCTCATAACCTACCCTCTAGCACTGACCACAAATTCTTTTTTTTAGAGATCACCTCCAAATCAACCTTCCTCTGCAATTAGTCACCTCTCAACAATTGGCAAATGGATTGGGTGGTTGCTTTATTAACTTTAGCTATAAGTAGCTTTCTAATTTCACATTTTATATTTTATGTTAAGTTCCTCAGTGACCACCTAGTGCTTTATAAACAAGCTTTTTAAATGTATATTTTTTCTTGTGATTGACAGGAGAGGCAGCCTCAGGCTGAAGCAGCACACACGTCTTCAGCTCCCTTAGGCTGGGTGAATTCTTCTCAACATTAAAGATGTGGCACACCAGTGCCTAACTTTGCTTATAAAGATATTCAGCCCCTCTGTCCATCAATAAGCTTTCCACCTAATCTCTAAGCAGTTTAATTAAATATCTGTCATTTTTTTTTCCTGGGCTAATGGAAAATTCAGCTTCTTTTGGCTGGTACCATTTTAAGACGATGTCACAAGCAATCAAACTTCTAATTTAGAAACCATGGTGGGCCAGATTCTCTCAGGACCTAGACTGTTCCCTGCCTCTGTGTTGGGCCCCTTGGAAAGCTGCATTAACTTTATTGAGCTACAGGGATATTAGACACAGAGCTCAATTTAATCAACCTAATTGTACCAAGGAATTTTGATCCTTCATGTCGTTAGCGAGAGAACTTTCATTTCAACACCTGTGGTCATTGGACACACACTTCAGAAAAATATCTCATCTAAATTAGAAGCCCCTGCCTCCAGGGGTCATTGGGACTGGATTGAACTTGCAGGCCAGTGACCTCCATCAAGGTTTCCATGGAAGTATGATCAGAATGCAGGAAGATGATAATATGACCCACAGGCTGTGTGATCTTTCTCTGTAGTTCTGATACAGCAGATGAGGAAAAAGTAGCCTTGGTTTCAGATTAAATCTGTTCTGTTCTCATAACACTGTATTTTAGCAGGAGCATTTTTTAAATGTAAGTTGTCAGAACAGCAAGAGAACGAGGGTTCCTGGGCTAAGTAGGAAAGATTGTTTCATTTTAAAGGCATCAACTGCCATCAAGGAAATAGAATTTAGGGATAAATTGAGTTTAACCCTAAGGTTTGACTCGTAGGGATAAATGCTGTTCTAATTTCCTCTGTGATTCTCCTACTGCTATGATGAATTCGTGTCCAGGTCTTCAAACTGTCACTACTTGGAAAAACTCTGAGTGCCAGAAGTCGCTAGAAAATATCTATACTTTTTGCTTGTCCCAATAGATCCCCTATTTCTTCACCGTCACCTTAACATCAATATTTTATTCTGGAGAAGGGAAGAAAGTTGCCAGGACGATGCCGTAGCTCAGAGCCTCTCACCCTAATGGGATACAGTAAGAGGGACTCAAGGCCAAAGGACCCCACGAGCAACTTTCTTCCCAAACAGCCTCCATTCAGGCTCTGCTGGAGAAATATTTATGAAGTCAGCACATTCCACACCCCTTCCGTTGCTTCCTCAGGAAGGATCTGAAAGACCCACTGTGAGAGCCAAGGAAAGGGCTCTTTTTTCTCAGCCACTCAATGTCAGCTTCCCTGACATTGCTGCGGGAAGCCTTTGAGAAATCCCATCCCCCAGTCAGACAGCCAGTGTGTTTTAAAAGCTTCTAAGTTCAGTTTGTGGCTGATTGCTCTTGGTCTTCTGGGTGAGAGCAACTGACATTTTAAAAGAGATAATTATAGAGAGAGTGAGCGAATAAAAGGGAGACAGCATAAAAGACACTTGAGCCAATGACACTGTCCTCGCTTAATGTGTGTCTCCAGTTGGAGACTGAAGTGTTGCCCTGTTTCTGCCTGTGAAAAAGGAATTTCTTATATACCGAACAAATTCTCATTTCCAGAAATAAGTATTTGAGAATTGGATGCATATAGCCTGGCTCATTGGAAAGAACACTGTGCCAAACATGAATGGTTGCCTTTCCATGAGTATCAAGAACTGGGAAGGGTCTGAGACTTTACCCCACTTGCAGGCTAACAAGTTAGCCATGGTTTGATGATGCTGGCAGAACCATAGTTTAACATGGCCACAGTCTGATGATGCTGGCAGAAGACATGAAACTCCTGGGTCAGAGACAAAGGACTTCTTTACTCACAACACAGCAGGCAGCCTGAGCTTCCCGTTCACATTGCTTTCCCTTGCAGGGGAATGCAGGGCATCCCAGGTGGATGCTGCACATGCAATAAGTTTGCTTCACAGCTGAGGGACCCTGGACTTAGGAAACCCCAATCTTTTTACAGTAGCTACTAGCAAACTTGCTCAATTTCTGCCCCGGAGAGTGACATTATATTTCTTACTCTGGCCATGAAATAAATCTACCCTCTGTCCCAGAGGAAGACACTATCTGTATCTTCCAAGGCTGTTAGCTATACACACATCCTTAAAAAAGGTATAAACAAAGCTGTCAATGCTTCTTGCTCAGAAGGCAGGCAAAAGTGGAAGAGACCCATGGAGATTTTTCTCCCAATAATTAGTCACTTTCCCTTTTTTCTTTGTGAGCTAACCGGATTTTGCCCTGGAATCTCTGTGTTTCCAGAGTCTTGCACTTTGCATAAGGACAGCCCTACCCAAGGCCCACAGGATGGATCTGGATTTAATGAAGGCAAAGATGGCAATTCCAGGCTCCTTGCCAGCTACCCACTTTGGATGAGACACATAATTCCCTTCTAGCCAATGAAACATGAGTGGAGTCTTTTGGTGAGTTATAAGGAAAAGACAGTCCCTTTTCTGCCCCTTAATATTGGGTGGGAAGCTGTGGTTCTTAATGTTGCTGGAGCTGCCTCACAAATGTCAGAGATACAGAGGACAGAGAGGACAGAGGATGAGCCTGGGTCATGGCTGACATTGTTCAACTTTTAAAAATTCTTTATTTGTATTTTTTGAGACAGGGTCTTGTTCTGTCACCCAGGCTGCAGTGTGGCAGTGTGATCATAGCTGACTGCAGCCTTGACCTCCTGGGCTCAGATGATTCTCCCACCTCAGCCTCTCAAGTAGCTGAGACTACAGGAGTACACCACCACACCTAGATAATTTTTGTATTTTTTGTAGAGATGGGGTTTTGCCATGTTGCCCAGGCTCATCTCGAAATCGTGGGCTCAAGCTATCCACCCATCTCAGACTCCCAGTGTGCTAGGATTACAGGCATGAGCCACCACACCTGGTCTACTCAACTTTTAAATTAATCCCAGAGCCATCTACCTTAGGATTTCTTATGTGAGATATGCTGTTATGTTATTGCTCAAGCCATTTTTATTGTAACTGAAAGCATCTTAACTGATATAGAGCCTCAGCTGTTTGGTCTTTTCACTTTTCACGCTTCAGGCCTCAGTTTGAGGTCCAAAGTGAGGATTATATCCATAGTTTCCCAAAAGTTCCTGTGTCCAAAATGTGTTTGAAACTACGGAGAACCTCTAAGGTTCTTTCAAATGGCAACATTCTATAATTTTTCAAGAGATTCTAAGAGAAATAAAATGAAATACAGCTGGTCTTAATGGTAATTTTAGATACTGAATCATTACAGGGAGAAAAGAGAAATACTAAAAGAGAAATACATAAGGTGGCATATTGCCATCAGAAAAGAATATAGGTGGAAGAAATTACTTTCTAATAAAGCAGGCTCATGACTTCATCTGAAAGGCTTAAAGTAATGATTGGGACAAAACCATGGAGAGCTCTTGGCATGTTCACGCTTCCCCTTCCAAGTGTAATTCCAGCAGGTGGCACTATTTGCTCTCATTCTAACTCAACAAATCACTCCAAGCTTAGTATATTGAGCGATAAATTTAACAACTGACCAATACCAGGTGTTTTTGGCTCTAAGTTTTCTCAGCAGGTGAGGGAGCATTTAGATATTAGACCACAGTTTCAGTTGAAGTAGCAGAAAAAATTTGGCCATTCAGTACAGAACAGGATAAGAGAAAAGAGAAGGAAAGTTATATAGCATGAGCATGATGGGCAGACCAGCTAACACTGTTTAGTTTTGGTAATGATACGTTTTTTCCATTCTAAAATAAGGTTCGAGGGGTGGCAGCTTCCTGGGGGATCTTCTGTACAATAAATCTCATTTGAGTCATACAACAAAACTGGTAATTGGTAGAACAGATATTTCAGCCTCACTCTATGGTGAACAGTGTTATCAATATCTTTTTTTGTTTCCTGTATTTTTTTTCTGAATGAAGTACTAACTGTACATCAGAAGATAAAAGGATTTATTTAACACGAAAGGGTCATGAGAAGAGGCAGGAAGGCTGAAAATAAGGTCGCCATGGGAATCAGAGAGATAAGGAGAAAGAAGTAAAGAGTTCATCTATGTTCCTAATTCAAGGCCAACTGCTGCACCTATACACGGGATGCCATCCTTCCTACCAGCTCAAGGACACCACTCTGACAATTCTCCCCTCCCTCTACAACTGGGTTGTTATACAAACACACACACACACACACACACACACACACACACACACACAGAGACATATCTCTACTCTTAACAACCACTGGCACTATAAAACCTTTCTTTTGACCTTATCTATCCCAAAAGTTACCATTTCATTTCTATGCACCCTTTTGTTTCCAAATTCCTTGAAAGAGATGTCTGTACTCCCCATATCTATTTCCACTCCTCTTAGTCTTCCTCTAATTCCACCACATAGGACTTTCTCCTTCACAACATTTGAAACTGCTCCTGCCCCAGGGCCTTAGAACTTGCTGTTCACTTTACCCAAATAACTCTGTGGCTGAGCGTTTACTTCTCTGCTCACAAGTCATCATATTAGAAACTCCATCCCTAAACATTCTATGTTAAATAACAAACTTCGCTCTCAGCTGTCCTTTCCCCTTTAATCCTGATTTTTAAAAAGTCTGCATAGCATGTATCACTATCTGGAATAATATATATGTGGTCCTGGCCTCAGGAAGGCAGAGGCATTTTCTGTTTTGTTCATTGTTCTCTCCTCAGCACTGAGAACATTGCCTGCCACACAGTAGATACCAATTTGTGAATGAATGAAAGGATGAATAGAAACTACTCCTGCCTAGGAAGGCAACAGTGATCACATGGATACTCTGAAAAGAGAAATCCACTCATTTTCCCAAGGCCAGCCGAACTAGATGGAGTTCCATCTTGTATTCCACAAGCATCTTTCCCAAGAGCACAAAGTAACTCAATGAATATTTTCTCAGTCTAAGAGCATGCTACATTAGTTATGTCTGTTTAAAACAAATGTAGCTAAACGTTATTTTCAAACATATGATGTTTGAGGACTAATGGCTTGCCCAAGATAAACTCACCAGTGGAATAAGAAGCAGAATTTTCTCCCTTTGCTTTATTGCATGCTAGTTTCACTCTACTTGTAGGAACAGGGACCTTGGATCTTAATTACAATTCTCAAGTTTTGGCCTACATAAAAAACTGCTAAAGGAAAATGCTTAAAATGCATATTCCAATGCTTCTGTTACAGAGAATCTGATTCAGTAGGTTTGGGGTGGGGCTTTGGAGTCTGCATTTTGTTAATGCCAGGTGATTCTGACGCAAGTGGTCCTGGAATCTTACTTTAAGAAACATTAGGAGTTTCAGGTTTCCTTCTAGTAGTAAGTCCTAGGAATCTTTGCTTTCTTGTCCTCAACAGAGAGATTTTCAGAACTGTGTAATAGAGAATTTAGCCTTGCCCTCAAGAGGTCTGGCCCTTGCCTTTGGCTTTGGGAAGGTAATATCTAAGCCCTTGGGATGTCCTGCCTGGTAAGCATGTCTTCATTTGCCTGGGAGCCTTGGGTTATTCCAGATAGTCTAACATTGTGTTTTAGGGGTAGGGCCACACCAGATGGCATTTAAGATGGGGCCTGGGCTGGGTGTGGTGGCTCATGCCTGTAATCCCAGCACTTTGGGATGCTGAGGCGGGTGGATCACCTGAGGTCAGGAGTTCGAGACCAGCCTGACCAACATGGAGAAATGCCATCCCTATTAAAAATACAAAATTAGCTGGGCGTGGTGGCAGATGCCTGTAATCTGGCTACTTGGGAGGCTGAGGCAAGAGAATCACATGAACCTGGGAGGTGGAGGTTGTGGTGAGCCGAGATGGTGCCATTGCACACTCCAGCCTGGGCAACAAGAGCGAAACTCTGTCTCAAAAAAAAAAAAAAAAAGAAAAAGAAAAAAGATGGGGCCTTACCATGCCAGATTGACCAACAATGTGATGAAGGGTGTGGGGCTTTGGCTTATATTCTCCAGCCTTCTGAGGGGCTGGAAACTGAGGTCAGCCATGTGGGCAATCAATCATTCCTATATAACGGAGTCTCAGTAAAGACTCTGAACATGGAGGCTCAGGAAGCTTCCCTCATTGGCAATACCCCATGCAAATTGTTACACACCCGTTCCAGGAAAGAAATGTGCTCCTGAATCTATATAGAGAGGTTGACTGTAAACTCAGCATCTGGTACTGTTCCTGGACTCTGCCATCTGTGCTTCTACCCCTGTCTGATTTTCACGTGCATTCTTCACCCATAATGCAGCATGAGTATAGCAGCCTTCGGCAGCAGAATTCAGTGAATTCTGTGAGTCCTTCTACAGAACTATCAAACCTGGGGGTGGTTTGGGGAACTTCTGAACTTGCAATTGGTGTCAGAAGCATATGCAGTCTTATGGGGAATGTGGTCTCTCTAAATTTGCAACTGGTTGTAACTCCACAAAAACAGAAACAATCACATCAGCTTAGAAGTATGTGATTGAGGCTGAGCACGATGGCTCATGCCTGTAATCCCAGCACTTTGGGAGGCCGAGGCGGGTGGCTTATGAGGTCAGGAGTTTGAGACCAGCCTGGCCAACATAGTGAAACCCCATCTCTACTAGAAATACAAAAAATTAGCTGGGCATGATAGAGGGTGCCTGTAATCCCAGCTACTCGGGAGGCTGAGGCAGGAGAATCACTTGACCCAGGAGGCGGAGGTTGCAGTGAGCCAGAGGTTGCAGTGAGCCGAGATCACGCCACTGCACTCCAGACCAGGCAACAGTGTGAGACTCTGTCTCAAAAAAAAGAAGTATGTGATTGAATCCAATAATGTTAAGACCTAAAAGCTTCAGTGAATAGACTTCGACCCCTGAGCCCACCCTCACTGATTAGTCAGGAAACTGAGGCTGAGAGACACTAAAATCCAGTAATGACTAGATATAGAGCTTTAGTTTTCCTAACTACTGTATTGCCTGTCATATTATGAAGGAAATAAAAAATGACCTATTTTTCTTTTAGTATAGTTTTAGTTTCTGAATGTAGAGATTTTTAGAGTCATATATGCATATTCACACCAGAAAACTTGGTGTTAAACACATCTGAAAATGAACATTGGCAAGAAAAATTTATTTGAAGTCTTCTGGAAATTCTTCAAGGAAATGCCTGGAGCTTAGGAATCAATGTTACGAACTCATTTTAAAATCTCTGGTATCTCGATAACCTCTTGAGTATAAGAAGTATTTCTCTTTATGTATTTTGGCCTTTAAGCTTTTTATTATGGTTAAAAAATAACTTCACAAACAAAGACATCCACAGAGAAAAGGAAGCAAAAGGGAGATACCATTGGCCATACAAAAACAGAAAGCTGTCTTTAAAATGCAAAGCTCTTCTAATTTTAGTTTTTCTATGCATTTAACCACCTTTTGAGAATAACTCCTTGAATATTAATAGGCCTATATGATTTAAAAAGAAAGAAGGCAAAAATAGTTCCAAAATGATATGTGGCTGGCAACAATCCCCTGTACCCCATGTAGGACTTGCAGTTGGGTTTTAAATACCCTCTTGTTTGGAAAGAGCACAGCTGTTCATTGGGCAGACAGTACCCATTTTGGAAGAATAGATAAAGGTCCCAGATGGTTACTCTGGGGATAGAGTGTTGTAATAAAGGGAAACCCAGAAGCTGCTTTAGAGAAACTCTGAAACTCATACCTAAGGATCCCCTAGAGATGAAGAGGAGAGCAGATTGAGGAGGGGATGGACTTCAAAGAAGTGTTTCTTCCGACCATATTCAGGTTGTGCGGCAAAATGAGAAAACTCATTTAAGGAAATGTGCTTTGGTAGAAGACTAGGGGTGATTTATTAAGTTGGTTTGAGGTGATGTCAGAGAGAGCCAGTTCATCAAAATACATGGCTTTGGAGAGTGCAAGGAGAAAGGAGAATTTGGCATCCAAAGGAGGTAATAAAACTGCAGGTTGAAACAACATGAATTGGGGGAAAAGCTGACAAGTTTCAACACAGACCAAGCTGAAGCTTACAAGGAGACAGCATACAAGTCAATTAATTGTGCCTTCTAAATAACTGTGCTATGCATGGCTATCTTGATAGGGACACTGATAATGAGGAAAAGCCAAAGATGAACTCTGAGGATGAAAGGCTATGGCTTTGGAAGGAGCATGCTTGCTAGTGAGAGCTTTAGATAAGTCTATCAGAAGGAAAGCAGCCAAGGGGACGTCTGTTTTCTGGTTTCTGTGGACTGACTTGTGACTCTGCCGATAGGTTGTATCACAGGTAGTATTTTTCTCTCTCTGTTTTGCCACAAATTGTTTCCTTTCTATCAAATCCTTTCAGTGTCACCTTGATATGACTTCAGAGAAGATCTCTGTAATGAAAATTAAAAAGTGCCAAATGAGGACATATATACTACATGCTATAGGCTCAGAGTATAAAAAGAGATTGATTCTGTTTTCCATTACAACAACAGATTCTCTTCAACTACAGTGCATTTGCAGTATTGGACAAATAGTGGAGAAAAAAGTAAAATTATGCTGCAGATCAACAGAGACTTTAAATGGGAATGGAGAGACATTAGAGAGGAAAGGAGAACCTTCCTTCCTTCCTTCCTTCCTTCCTTCCTTCCTTCCTTCCTTCCTTCCTTCCTTCCTTCCTTCCTTTTTTTTCTGAGATAGACTTTTGCTCTGTTGCCCAGGCTGGAGTGCAATGGTGTGATCTCAGCTCACTGCAACCTCCACCTCCCAGGTTTAAATTATTCTCCTGCCTCAACCTCCCGAGTGGCTGGGACCGCAGGCACGCGCCACCACATCTGGCTAATTCTTTTGTATTTTTAGTAGAGATGGGGTTTTGCCATGTTGGCCAGGCTGGTCTCGAACTCCTGAACTCAGGTGATCCACCCGCCTCAGCCTCCCAAAGTGCTGGGATTACAGGCGTGAGCCACTGTGCCCAACTGAATCATTTTCTATATAGCAAGCTTTCTTAAAGTGTGAAAGACTTCTATAAAAGTGCCTTTTGCCTTAGAATCGTCACAAGAGATGCATAACCAATTTAAATTATTTTATTAGTTTTTCTGAAGCTATGCTTAACTTGATCTTTATCGTCTACTTAGTAATGAATATTAGAAATGAGGAAACTAAGGGTTGAACATTAAAAATATAGAATCTCAGAATCTCAGGTTTGAAAGTATCCCAGGATAAGTGCTCCTTTAAAGTTGTAGAAGAGTTAGTAGACCCTTGAGTTCATATGTTTCCATGTATGAAAAATGACAGAAATCACTTCACAGCATCCCTTATGGTTGTGTCAGCCAACTTCTACTTAAGAAAAGCATTCCTCTGGAAATGGATATTGTTAAACAATAATACCAATTTTTCACAGAGTACGCTTCCTTTGTTTTGGATAACAGCTGAAAATATAACTTTCTTGTATAGATTGCATAAAACATTTTTGCCTCCCTAAAGACTGCGCATATAAAATACGTGAGAACCCTTTTAGGACTAGTTTGTACAATGTTCAAACAAGTACATTTACTTTTGTTACGATTTAGTGAACTAATGGAACATGATTTTTCTGTAGAGTAGCTCCATCGAGAGAACAGTTGCAGGTGGGGTTAAACTCATCTCCAGCCTCCATCCTGGGATGGTTTGACATACTCTCAACAAAGAGAATGAATGGAAACAGCTTTGGGGATAGGGTCATCGGTTAGCAGTACTATCCAGCTGTTCTAGTCCATTTTGCCTTGCTATAAAGAAATACTTAGGGCTGGGTAATTTATAAAGAAAAGAGGTTTATTTGACTCTTGGCTCTGCAGGCTATATGAGCATAGTGCTGGCATCGACTTCTAGAGAGGGCCTCAGAAGCTTATGCTCATGACGGAAGGTGAAGGAACAGCAGCACATCACATGGCAAGAGAGGAAGCGAGAGAGAGGAGGAGGAGGTGCCAAGCTCTTTAAAACAACCAGATCTCATATGAACTCATTACCATGGGAAGAGCACCAAGCCATTCATGAAGGATCCGCCCCCATGACCCAAATACTGTCCACTAGGTTCCCACCTCCAACATCGGGAGTCACACTTCAACATGAAATTTGGAGGGACAAATATCCAAACCATGTGACCTGCTGAGCCCATCTTTGCTTGGATTTCCCAATGTGGTTTCCTTGTTTGTTTATTTCTTTCCTTCCTTCTTTCCTTCCTCCCTCCCTCCCTTCCCTCCCTTCCTCCCTCCGTTCCCTCCATTCCTTCCACCTCCCCCTCCCTCTCCCTTCCCCTCCCTTCCCTTCCCCTCCCTCCCTCCCTCCCTCCCTCCCTCCCTTCCTTCCTTCCTTCCTTCCTTCCTTCCTTCCTTCCTTCCTTCCTCCCTCTCTTCCCAATGTGGTTTGTTTCCTTCCTTCCTCCTTCCAGTGTGGTTTCCTTGTTTCCTCCCTCCCTCCCTCCTTCCTTCCCCATCCCTCCCTTCCCCCCCTCCCCTCCCCTCTGCTCTCTTCTCTTCTTCTCACTCAGCCACCCAGGCTGGAGTGCAGTGGCACTATCTTGGCTCACTGCAACCTCCCCCTCCCAGGTTCAAACTATTCTCCTGCCTCAGCCTCCCGAGTAGCTGGGATTACACGCACCTGCCACCACACCCAGCTATTTTTTCAATTTTTAGTGGAGACAGGGTTTTGCCATGTTGACCAGGTTTTTCTGGAGCTCCTGACCTCAGGTGATCCACCTGCCTCGGCCTCTCAAAGTGCTGGGATTACAGGCATGAGCCACCGCACCCGGCCTGTCTTCCACTTTCATCATTTGAGCTGCCCTGCAGCTTGAGGCTGTGATATGTGAGTATGTGATAAAAAGCAATCGCATATCACATACTTAAAATAGATAGTATGCTATCATATGTTATGATTGGGAATGAGCAACCAGAAGCCAGTGGATCAGAATGTGTGGAAATTTATCTTTCAAAAGTTAAGCCCAACAGCAAGGGACTGTGGGTTAAATGGAATGCTTGGCAGTTGAGGCACTGTATTTCACAATCTTTCAAAATCTGTGCTCCCATTTGTTGACATAGTAATCTAATCATGCCCCATGTAGGAGGCTAATGGTAATATAACAAACCTCAGAAGATCCCAGATAAACATCCGACCAGCCAATTGGAAATTTCTATGCTTTATATTCTGTAGGTTATATTACCAAAACAATAGCTATTTTTGGGTTTTCTTTCTAAATATAAAATTATAAGTTTTCAAACTACACATGCCCTCTTGGAGATTCTGGTATGGTCCTTGTTCTCAGTTGAAAAAAAAATATTGTTATGGAGTCTTAAGAAAAATGACATGAAAATGTGTTCTTAAAATATTATTACATAAAAAAGTAGGTTACAAAACAGTATGTACCCTATGATCTCATTTTTGTAAAAAAAAAGTATATATAAATGCATAGAAAAATGTTTAGAAATATAGACACCAAAATGATAATTTAAATATATTGGAATATGGGATTATAGCTGAATTTTTGTTTTGTCCTTTTTGCTGCTCTGAATTTTTAAATCATTCAACGATAAACAATACTTGCATAATTTTAAAGTTACAATCTGATAATTTCCACTTTCTCTGGCAAAGATTGGTGACTTTATAAGCAACTCTATTCTGTAACTTTAACAACTATTTAATCAGAAAGTTCAGTTTATCAAAATAAGATATTATTTTATTGTATACGATTTTATTTAAATACAGAAAATTAGAGGGCATTTAAAACTAGACTGAAATATTCCTCATTTCTTCCCTATTTTTAGAAACTTGAGAAGATTTTTTTAAAAAACAGAGTGGTCAAACTTTACCATAAAATAATTTTGAACAAGATATAAGTTCTTTTTTCCTGTTAAAAATGGCTAAAAACAAGGGCATGCTATTTTTCAAAGTAAAATCCTCACAGGTCTGAAATGCCAGCATGTTCTGATGTTTAAACTAATGTATACAGGAACCGGAATGCAGGATGAGCATAATTCAGTGTTATAATTACACTTGACAGATATACACTGCTTCTATTATTCACTGGCTCTGGTTACACTTACCCAGAAAGACTCTGTAGAATACTAAATATCAACCACTCTTCATAAAAAGTCAGTTGGCATTCGCATCAGTTCTCATCAGAGGAATCAAACTCAGAGATGCAGAAAACCAAATTTGATCATTTTAACACCATCCGCAAAGGCAAGCAAAATGACTAATTTCCGACAAGGCCTGAGGTTCAGCCAGATTTCATTTGTCAAACTCTTAACAGATAGGCGGTGGGTCATTTCTCTAGAGAGAGGTATCTTTGAAGTGGTCCTTGGGCTTCGGCTTTATTCCTTTCAATTGCTTCTATGTTGCACGGTCTTCCTCCCCCACCTGCATTTGCCTATGCTGTTTTCTCTCCAGAAAAATGCCCTTATCTCATTTTTGCCTGTCATCCTTCAATGCAAATCAAATGCTGCATCTCCTGGAAACTTACCTTGGTGTCTTTAAAGTTTACTCCTTTTTGGTGTCATAGTACCTGTAAAAGAGACCACTAACCATTCACAGAAGGTTTCTTTCCCCTTTTCATCATCACTCCCGCAAAGCTGCTACCCAGCCAGTAACTGCCTTCCTGGTCCCTGTGCATCCAGGTGGAGACATGTGACTAGCTCTTACCAAAGGGAGGAGGGCAAGGAATGTGTTCACGCTGGTTCAGTGTGGTCAAGAAGAGAGAATGCTTCTCTATCCTCCCTTTCTCTCTTTGCCAGCTAGACTTCCCGGGCTCTAGACGATGGTGGAGCCACAGAGAAAAGGAGTCTGAACCTCTAAATCACTGTGTGGAAGGTCTTCATGGACCAGAGCATAGCATGCATATTATTATTATTATTACTTTATTTGAGACAGATTCTCATTCTGTCACCCAGGCTGGAGTGCAGTGGCGCGATCTCAGCTTACTGCAACCTCCACCTCCCAGGTTCAAGCGATTCTCCTGCCTCAGCCTCCTGAGTAGTTGGGGTTACAGGCGCACGCCACCATGCCCAGCTAATTTTTGTATTTTTAGTAGAGGCAGGGTTTCACCGTGTTGGCCAGGCTGGTCTAGATCTCGTGGCCTCAGGCTATCTGCCTGCCTCGGCCTTCCAAAGTACTGGACTACAGGCGTGAGCCACCGTGACCGACCATAGCATGCATATCAGACTGTCATATGGCTGCAGAAACCTAGGGTTTTACTGGGTAGAGCAGCTTATCTTATTTTTAAAGAAGATTACATAATGTTCCTAACTCTCTTATGACCTTATCACATTTTTTTCATTTATTCGTATGATTAAAAAAATGGACAAGAGGATGTTCATCAGGGATGAAGGGATAATTGTGGTGTAATGGTTTTACTCTATTTTCAATACCCAACTGTGTCAGATCATTGTAATATTAAAAAAATATAGGCCGTAATATATTTGAATGAATTAGGGGGATTCTCTAATTCATAGAAGTTTCAGAGTGGAGAGAAGTGGCTGGAAGCCACGTGGGAGCCCTTTAAACAAATGCTCCTATGAATGTTGGAGATGTTCCCTTTACTAACCCACCAAAATGAGGCTCCCAACAAAAGGAGAGGCAGGACCGTGATTTGACTATCAAAAAGGCAAATAAAAACTTTCCCTGTGGAGAAGTTTGTCATGCTCAAGCTTGACCTTCAGAAATACAAGAAACAATTCTTTTTGTTCTTCAACATTTCTATTCTACATCTCATGGCCTCCAGAAGCCAGGACCCAGATCTCAGCCTGTCCTGTGTACCTTGAATCAACACTCAACTACAGCAACAGCAGAGCTCTTTACGGTTAGCTATGGAATGTGAGTGCTATATACAATGCGGTGTCTACATTAAAATACATTTCAGGTTCTGAACAACTAGATCAGAAACTTCTAGAGCACAATCCCCTTAAAAATTGAGAAGTACCTAAACTAAAAAAAAAAAAAAAATTAAAAAATTAAAGGTAAAACAGCAATACAAAAGAAATAGAAACATCTTTTTAAAGAAGATATATTTTTACTGTGACCACACTCCCGTATAAGATTTCATGTAAGTCTTTACGTTTCCCCATTTCTCCTCAAGGTTCCTACTTGATTGCTATTAAAAATTGTCTTGTAATTTCAGTAAAATGCATCTTGAGAACGATAACTTCCTGAAAATTTTCATTTATAACAAACTGTTTTTATTTCTTGTTGCTTTAAAACATGTTTTAAAATTTTTATAGATTGAGGGGATACAAGTACAAATTAACAAACTTTGTATAAATTTTCCAGTTGACATCCAGTTGGCCAGTATTTTCTTTCATGGTTTTGATTTCAGTGTTTGATAGCTTATAGAAACCTAGCACTTGTTTTACTTATAGTTGTCTTTGGCCTTTTGAGACAATCTTTGGTTCTGAGCTTTTTCAAGTAATCTATCCCAGTCCCTCACTATATTTAAATGAAGCTCTACTCCCTGATTTATTGTATCTACTTTTTTTTTTTAAAGCCAGCTTTGAATTAATTGGTCCCAAGTGTCATCCCTAGTTGAATCAATTCTCCAGCATTAGCAACACACACTGACTGACTGTTAACTCTTTTCTTGAAGCACTTGTTTTTATAAAAATATCAAGCCTATGGAGATACTGTTAGCTCCTAGAATGGCAGATGGAAAGTCTCTAACCTTATTATAATTTAAATTTTTCATATATATTTCTGCTTTTCTCATAAATCCATGTGTTCATTATCCAGCAATAATAGCATATCTTTCTTCCGTCTGTCTCAGAATGTGTGAATTCAAACTTCTTTGATTTCTTCTCTTAGAGGGTCTGTTGTCTTACAGATGGTCATAGGCAGGCCAATTCTAGTTGTTGGTCTTTTTGACACTTTAACAGGCCATCTTTTAGAAGGGAAAGGTTTCATGAACTACCACATAGAGTAAATAATATGGAAAGTGTTGGCAGGGCGTGGTGGCTTATGCCTGTAATCCCAGCACTTTGGTAGGTCAAGGCAGGCAGATCACAAGGTCAGGAGTTTGAGACCATCCTGGCCAACACAGTGAAAACCTGTCTCTACTAAAAATACAAAAATTAGCGAGGCGTGGTGGCGTGAGCCTGTGGTCCCAGCTACTCGGGAGGCCAAGGCAGGAGAATTGCTTGAACCCGGGAGGCGGAGGTTGTGGTGAGCTGCTGAGATTGCACCACTGCACTCTGGCCTGGGCAACAGAGAGAGACTCTGTCTCAAAAAAAAAAAAAAAAAAAAAAAAAAGAAGAAGAAAAGAGAAAAGAAAACGTTAGAATCCAAGAGAGTGAGATAGAAGAAAAATTACATCAAAAAATTTTAATGAAACTTCAGTATGTCTTTGGAGTAATGATAAACTACTCCATTCAGACAAATGCTATGTGAAGATGCTGACTAATGAGGATTCCTGCTACTTTCCAGGCAATGCACCTAATGAATTGTCTTGTAAAAATTTTGGTATTTTTGGGGAAATGAAGTCTTCTGTCTTATTTTTTATATTATAAATCAAGATGCAAAATGATAAAAAAAATTTTGTGTGGGCAGGATTTCAATGAAGGGGAAGCAATTCCGGAACAGGCAGACACATAGTCAGTCTTAGGAAACTGTAGTGGTGTCCAGGGAATATCAGTAGCTGGACATAGCTGAGGCTGTGGCACATGGTGCTGGTGGGTGAGGGGCAAAGCTTGTATGGAGTAGGGGAAAAAAACTTGAAAATTAAGTTAGGCCGTAAATCACTTACCAAGCTTGGGATTGTACTTTGTCTTATAAGGCACAGGGGGAATCATGGTGGTCTGTAAGGAAAGGAGTAACTGGACCAGATCTGTAGAAATTTGGCCTCACTAGGGAGGGTGGTTATCAGGATAGAGGGACTGGAGTGAGGGAGTCAAATTATGAGCCTGTCTGAATCCAGAATCCAGGGATTTCAACTAGCAAAGCCATCCTGGGAGGTAGAGACATTTGGTATGATTTCATTATGTTCACATCTATGTTCCAGCTGCCTTTTATGACTAGTAGGAATTGATGCTTTCTGTGGCATTGTTCTGGTATGATGGCTTACAGGAAGAATAGCATTTCTTTATATTAAAAATGCAGTGTTCTATCAAGATAAAACAGTCTATCCCCTATGGGGAGGTTAGTAAAACTTTAAATAGGACATTGAGTTTTCTAATTTGAATAATGAAGAAGATGGCCATGACATTAACTAAGTGGGAGCACAGAAGGGGGCTTTTGAGTGAAAATGATGGATTTCAGTTTCGATATGTTGAGCTTGAGGTATCGTGGGCCATTCTGATGGCTCCTTAGTTAGCATTTACAATTAGGTGGCAATAATGTTAGGAGATCTCCTGACTACGTTTGGTGAAAGCATATATGCTGACTGGAATTACTGGAAGCAGATGTGTTTTATTGTGGCACATCCCTCCCCCCATCATCCTTAGGAGAACTGAGAACCCTGGCATGAAAAGTTAAGGTGCTGCTTGGCTGTGAGTTCACTTAGGTTGGGAGGTGGTAAGCCACACTGGATGGCTGATGGTCTCCGGCAGGTTTGCCGAATTGTTCATGGTAGACGAGACCTTAAATACCATCTTGTTCAACCTTCTTGTTTTACAAGTGGATATGATAAAGTCTGGAGAGGTTCAAGGACTGGTCTCTGGTCAGTCAGCTTAGAATCCTGGTCTCTCTAAGTGTAGTTGAAAAATTGAGTGATTTATTAACTTTTTTGTCATTCAAGATTTTCTCAGAGCAGAGTTTTTCTCTTTTTCTACTTTTCCATTCAGCTGTAATTTATACACGGTAAAATGTGCATATCTTAATGCACAGCTGGATACATTTTTACATATGCAATCATTCCTTGCATTAAGATAAAGACTATTTCTACCACCCAGAAAGTTCCTTTGCACCCCCTCCTAGTTGACATCAGCTATCCCCAGGAATAGTTACTCTTCTGGCTTCTCTGCAGTAATCGATGTGGATTACTTAGGTTATTTTCGAGCATCGCATGAAAGAAATCAGGACATACCGTCATGTATGTACAATGTAATGTCTTTGAGGAAATCCTGCCTCTGATGTTTACTTTCTTTTTATTGTCCTAAAATGCCCGTGACTATGTAAATAAGCTGGAGTTTAATAGGGAGAGTCTAAGGACACCAGATCTCTAGTGAGGTCTTGGGGAGCCTGTGTCCTGGACTTCAGCTGGTTTCCAAAGCAGAAGTTGAGCCCCAGCCGAGGGACAAGCCATCTCTTTGGGTGTGACTGGAAGTAGCCTGCCCTTGGTTACTTGGAATCCAGGATGTGGGCCCAAGGCAAAGGAATTATTACCAAGAAGGCAGTTGTATCTTCAAATGGAAGATCCTTCCTGGTACCAGGAAGGTACCCTCCACGATGGGGAGGAAAGGCGATGTGGAGAGACTGCGGTTATGTGGCACCCATAGGAGCTGCCACGTGAGAGGGCTGGTCAGGAGGCCTGGGTGGTCTTTCAAAGCCACCTCTGAAGTGTAGTGGGAGAGAGGCAGAACTCTAGAATCTGTAGAGAGATGTCACTCTGTCTGGCCAGCTTAGGAGGAATTCCCAATCTTCTCTGGAAATTTCCAGATCAGGACATGAGTGGACCAGTAAACTCTAAAGTAACTTGAAATATTTTTATATCCAGAAGACATTCTATTCTAAAATCCATCTTCATAACTCTAGGATACCTCTACTGTACATTCAAATAACTGTCCCTTCAGTGTAATTGGCAAAGAAATCTGGATAAATTTAATCTAAATTGATTTACCAACTATTTATATATCTTTTAATATTTATTAAGAACAAAAAGCTATTATATGAAAAGCTTTAATATAGCACAAATTTCATTTTAGTTTACACTTCCAAACTTCTTTTTGGTCTGTAATTCAAATCAAAGGTTTAAATCGAGAAGTTAGAGAATTTCTTTTTAATCACAAGTGTTGTTATTAAATATTCAGGTCTTCAAATTTTATTTTTGGGGAGAGAATAGTTTTTTTTCTTATGTATAGTAATGACCAAGTCAGAATCACTTTTCAGATTCCAAATGTTGAATATAAATTGAAACCATAATTAGACTTGCAAAGTAGTAGAAACACTAAAATTCTTCCTAAATCCATGTTGATAACCCAAGTTGGCTTGGATAATTAAAAAGAAAAATCCAGAGGCCCGGCATGGTGGCTGACGATTGTAATCCCAGCATTTTGGGAGGCTGAGGCGGGTGGATCGCTTGAGTCCAGGTTTCAAGATCAGCCTGGGCAATATGGCGAAACCCCGTCTCCACAAAAAATACAAAAATTAACCGAGTGTGGTGGCGTGCACCTGTGGTACCAGCTACTCGGGAGGCTGAGGTGAGAGGATCACTTAAGTCTAGAAGGTGGAGGTTATGGTGAGCCAAGATTGCACCACTGCACTCCAGGCTGGGCGACAGAGAGGCCCTGCCTCTAAATAAATAAATATAATATATGTGTGAAAAATCCAGGTGCTAACACCTGATTTGTACTAATAAAAAACACAATATTTTTTAAAACATCCTAAATAACACCCCAACAGAACAACAGCCCAGTTAAGTGGAATTAGACATTCTTCACATCTACAAGAGTGAAACTATTTAAAAATAAAAAGTTGTTCCAATTTTGAAATACTGGAAGATAAATTGCCATTAGTTTACTTCTTCTGACTCATCAGTTTCTGTATATTGCAGAATATTTTCTTCTGACTTTCTTGAGCATGTATATTGCATAAGGCTGCATCTTGAACATGAAAGTTTTTCCTCATATTATTTCCTAAGATTAGTAGGACATTAGGCCGCTGCCTGCACATTTTTGTGGAGATATGTCTGCTAAATGCAAATATTCCCTCCAAGTTATCCTGATACCTTAAAAATCTCAAACTTGGGCAACATGGAAGCTTATGTTAAAGTATTACAACAGTTTCTGGTTGCTTTTCCTGAATGTTACCTACTCAGTGAGCTTTTCCTTCAAAATTTCCCTCCAAAAATCCCCTTCACAAATGTCCTCTAAAATCTTATTTATTTATTTATTTTGAGATAGGGTCTTGCTCTGTCACCTGGGCTGGAGTGCAGTGGTACAATCTCAGCCTCCTGGATTCAAGTGATCCTTGTTCCTCAGCCTCCCGAGTAGCTGGGATCACAGGGGTGTGCCACCACGCCCAGCTAATTTTTGTATTTTTAGTAGAAATGGGGTTTCGCCATGTTGGCTATGCTGGTCTCGAACTCCTGAGTTCAAGCAATCTGCCCACCTCGGCCTCCCAAAGTGCTGGGATTATAGGCATGAGCCACCGTGCCCAGACTAAAATCTCTTTTAAATTGTTAAACAAAAATAGACTCTATGGTCACTATTTGTTGTATCATTAAACACTTTCAAACACTTCCTTCCTCTGATTGCAGTCCACCCTAAGGGGACCCTAACTTACAACCCTTAGAATTGTAACCCCTTTTCTGAGTGGCCCATATCTTGGGGCCAGGCGAACAGTTGGCCTATTCTTCCCTTCTCCGTACTTCTTCCACTCTATGGCTCCAGAGTCTTCAAACGGCTTCGCGTCCACCTGTGACTCGTCCTCTCCCCGTTCATATTGTGGTCACTGTTTGAACCCCAGGACAGTAAAGTTTGGGTCATGGATTCCCTGTCCATTTCACCTCTTGTCTTCACCATTGATGACCTCAACAGTGACATAGGTGACCAACCAACACTACTCTGGCCTCCCAGTGCCCTGACTTTCTCCGCAGCCTTTTGATACAACCTACAAAATTCCATTTCAATTTTCATTCTTCTTACCGCCCAAACTGCTTTCCTGTGAAATCGTGAGTTCCAAAATTTCACTAACCGTGACCTGTCCTTCCACCTTTCCACATATTATTCCTTGTCTATATTTGGATCGCCAGCACCTCAGTCGTGGTGATCTGCTTCTCCACCTAGATTTTCTGGGGCTCTCCATTCAGACTAGCACCTCATTCATTCATTTCATTCATTCAACAAATGCTTATTTAGTTCCTACCACATGCCAGGCATTGTGGTGACCCTGGAGATATAATGGTAACTAATGTTCCGTAACCCTCGCAGCATGGGTGTATGACGGAGCCACACCTTTTTGATGTGTTCATGCCATCTATGATGCTGTGCTTTTTTCCTTTGGCATTCTAAACCTGAAACTTCCTTTTCCATTTACTTTGTGGCTCTTTTAAAATGTTAGCATCTTCAAGGAAACTTTTCTCCTTCTCCAGTCAGAAGTAAATATTGCCTCATCTAAGTAACCACAGCATATTGTTCGTACCTCTAATATTATCCTATCCAAAATATTATTTTATAGGCTGGCTGTAGGTGGTAGCTTATACCTATAATCCCAGTTCTTTGGGAGGTGGAGGCAGGCAGATCACTTGAGGTCAGGAGTTCGAGACCAGCCTGGCCAACATGATGAAACCCTGTCTCTACTAAAAATATAAAAAATTAGCCAGGCATAGTGGCACATGTCTGTGATCCCAGCTACTTGGGAGGCTGAGGCAGGAGAATCACTTGAACCCGGGAGGCAGAGGTTGCAGTGAGCCAAGATTGTGCCACTGCACTCTAGCCCAGCTGGCAGAGTGAGTGAGAATCTGTCCAAAAAAAAAAAAAACTATATATATATACACACACACACACACACACACACACACACACACAGTTTTATAATAACAGAGATTACTAGTCTCAAATAAAGAAAATGTGGTACATATACATCATGGAATACTACACAGCCATAAATAAGAATGAGATAATGTCCTTTGCAGCAACATAGATGAAGCTGGGGACCATTATCCTAAGCAAACTAACACAGGAACAGAAAACCAAATATTGCATATTCTCACCTATAACTGGAAGCTAAACATTGAGTACGCATGGATACGTGTACTAAGCGTGGAGGGCGGGAGGAGGGAGAGGATGGAAAAACTACCTATCAGGTACTATGCTTATTACTTGGGTGACAAAATAATCTGTACATCAAATCCCCGTGACATGCAATTTACCAATATAACAAACCTGCACATGTACCCCTGAACCTAAAAGAGAGACAGAGAGAGAGGGAGAGAGAGAGAAAGAGAGAAAGAGACAGAGAGAGATTAAGATTACTAGTCTTTCCCACTAGATGGTGTGTGCCTCTGGGATGGGGCCATGTCTTCTTCTTACGTTCATTTTAGGTACACACATAGCAGGTACTCAATAAATACTAGATAAATATTTAGATGACCATATATTTAGAATGAGATCTGAGACTTGACCCCAAATCTTCACTGCCTGTGTCATACTTCACACTCTAACAATACAAAATGCTTGTAGTTTCCCAAACGCCCATCACACTCCCCATTCCTGTGTTTTTGTTCGCATTGCCTCTTCCTCCTAGAATTCTTTTCCCCATTCCTTTAACTTTTTTGCCTGATTTTTATGACCCAACTGAAGCATTCCCTCATCTTCCCCTTCATTCCCAGGATAGGTCACATACCTCTCCACCGATTGTTCATAATACTTTGTGCCTATCATTGTAATTTACTTATTTTAACGATTAAATGCACCATATCTGGATTCGGCAGTGTCAACTCTATGCTCTCATTTCCTTAGCTGTAAAATGTGTATAAAACTTGCTGTGTAAACTACAAAAGTTAATAACCTACAAAAGCTTTAGAACAGGGCCTGGCACTTGCAAAGCTCTCAATGAAATTATGTATCCACACTGTCACTAATGTGTTTGTCTCCTTCACTAGGAGGTGGATGCTGGGTTCTCCTGTTTCCACCTCAGCTTCCCCAGCGCCTCCCAGCACCAGCAGTAGGGCAGGTGCTCAGGAGGTGGTGGCCCGAGGTTGGGACCCTGGTTATGATGGCCCTCTCAGTCAGAAAAAGGATCTAGAGCAGTCAAGCTAATCCCTTAGGGGTAACTGAAAAAATACATGGACAGATCCATGGTTGTTAGTGATGAAGAAAAGTTTAGAGTCTGGGTTTTCTGATATCTGCTCCATAAATTTTTTTTGAACAATATTTCTTTGCCATCTCAAAAATACTAACAAACAAACGTCCACACACAACAACAACAACAAATTCTGATTTGGAAAGGCACTTCCTAGTGGGCGGTTTACGCTGTTCTCTTTACTTCCGCCTCTTCCTCTCACCCCTGTGAGGTGCTGCGATGCTGGGTCTACCTCATGCCCACAGCCATGGGGACCTTGCTCCTTCAGCCAGTCCCTTTATCTCCTGTATTACCAATCCCCCTTCTCTACCATAGTTTTCTCCTTCAACTATATGAATGCTAAAGTCTCTACCATCCTCAAACTAGAATGAACAAAACCACCCTCTCTTGATCTCCAAATCCACTTCCACTCACCCTAGTGATACCTGACTTTTTGACCGTGACCTCTACATGTTAAATCTGATGGTCACTTTATGTCCTTGTTTTAGGGACCTCTCAGCAATATCTAACCCTCTTTTTTTCCTTTTTGAAATGTCTTTTTCATTTGGTTTCTGGGTACCACTGTCTTCCTACTTCTCTGTTAGTTTTCTGCAAACTAGTTTTCTTCCTTCTATTCCTTGAATGTGGTTTTCTTTTCTTTCTTTCTTCCTTTTTCTTTTCTTTCTTTCTCTGTTTCTCTCTTTCTCTTTCTTTTTCCTTCCTTCCTTCCTTCCTTCCTTCCTTCCTTCCTTCCTTCCTTCCTTCCTGCTCTCCCTTCCTTGTCTCCCTTCCTTCTCTCCCTTCCTCGAGGTCTCGCTCTGTCACTCAGGCTAGGGGGTACAGCTGTGTGATCATAGCTCACTGCTGCCTCAAATTCTTGGGCTCGAGGGATTCTCCTGCCTCAGCCTCTGGGCAGGAGGCTAAGGGACTACAGGTGCAGCCAACCATGCCTGGCTAATGTTTTATTTTTAGTTTTGTAGAGATAGGGTTTCACCATGTTGCCCAGGCTGGTCTTAAACTTTTGGGCTCAAGTGATACTCCCCCTTCAGCCTCCTAAAGTGCTGGGATGACAGGTGTGACCTACTGCTACTCCCAAAGTACTGGGATGACAGGTGTGAGCTGGTTGTCTTTCTTGTACATCTTGCTTCCTCTCTCTACACATTTGTTTTGGGCAATCTCATCCATGCTGAGGGTACTGAATGCTTATTTCCTGATCCTCTAAGTGATGATGACTCCCAAACTGAGTTTCTGAGACCTCTCTGTTGGGTTCTGGACTTGTCCATTCAGCATCCTCTAGATGTGTCCACTTGATTAGATCCTCCTATAGCCCACAGAGACTCAGTCTCAAAATATCCAGAATGCAGTTTGTATTTTGCTCTTGAATGTCAGACTCCTTCATGAAAGGTGCCCCACTCACACAACATCAAAACTAGAAACACTGGTTTCATTCTAGGATCTTCCCGTCCACTTAACCCTCACGAGTATTTGTTGAATGTCTGTGGAATCTATCTGTTAAGGATCTTTCTTTTTTTTTCTTTTTTTTTTGAGATGTATTCTTGCTCTGTGCTCTGTCACCCAGGCTGGAGTGCAGTGGTGTGATCTCGGCTCATTGAAGGATCTTTCATATCTACAATGCTTCATCACTGTCTTCCTCTCTTTCTATGCATTCTGCCTCTGTCTTAACAGAGGCTCCCATGGCTGGTTGTCTGGCTTCCAGTCTTTTCTCTGGTGAATGCAAACCTGATCAAGTTACGCCCTGGCTCTCCATAGCCTTCAGGGTCATGTTGAGTCAGATGCTCCCCCTGGCAGAGTGCATTGGGTGCTCATCTGTGCCCACCTTGCTATTGCTGGCCCCTGCCCCTCCCCACTGCACCTGTCCCCTCCTGGGTCCTTCGGTTCAGTCTCCGACACCTTCGTTCATTTGGTGTTATCCTGAAACTTCCTTTTTTCCCTGGCTCCTGTTCTTCCCCCACTTCTTCACCTTACTGGCTTCTACTTATCCATCAAAATTTAATTAAAGCATTCCATCCCTGGGAGGCGCTCCTTGTCAAGCCAGTCAGGTTTAAAAATTCCCCTCAGTGCTCCCGGCCTCTTTCTTGCTATCTGTTCTGTGAGGCAGTGTGCTTTAAGGTTAGCAGCAATGACTTTGGGACAGACACATAATGTTTGGGGTCAAACACCAGCTCTGCCACTTCCTGGCTGTATGACCTTGGCCAGGCAACTTGCTCACCCTGTGCCTCAGTTTCCTCGTTTGTAAAATGGAGATGTGAATGCTAGTATGCACTTCACAGGGTGGTTAGGAGTGTGAGATGATTCACGTAAAACGCCTGGAACGAGGCCTGAAAGTCTGAATGAAGCTGAGCTATTTTTGTTATTATCATAACTCCTGAGTTACTTGCCTGCTTTCTAAAACAAACAGAAAGATCTTTGAGGGAAAGAAATCACACTTGATTTGACTAAATTACCTCAGCACTAGCACTGTACCTGGGACATAGTAGATACTCAGTAAATACTCATTAAATGAATGAATAAATATGAATAGTAAATACATGAAGTATAGGGTTAAAATGTTACCATTAAAGCATGCTAATGAGTGAGATTGCCCTAATTTTATCTCTGTGTTTTTCTACTTGTGCATAAGATGCTGATGGTATCTCATTAACTTAGTGTACACTGACTCATTGTTTTCTGAGTCGAGAATCTTCCACTCTTGACAGAAGGGCACAATGTAATTAATTAACAGAACTGTCATTCTGGAAAGCAATATGTAGTCATGAACTGTGACCAAATTCCTCTGAGACACGCTTAGAGAAAAAAAATGTGAATTCCTATCAGAAAGAGATCAGAAGGCCTAACAAGCTAAATGGGAAAAACATAGAGACAGTTCTAAAGAGTTTAACTTCAGAATCAACGTTTCCTGAGGCCCCTCTGGTAGCCCGCCACTGTTGTGAAAACAATTAGGTTTGCAGAGTGATTCCTCACACAAGGAAGTGGGCCTGAGAGAATTCTCTACCCAATGTCTCAGGAATCCTGATGGCGAAGTGTCTGACTGAAAAAGTATGATCAGCGGCCAGGCGTGGTGGCTCACGCCTGTAATCCTAGGGCTTTGGGAGGCCGACGCGGGTGGATCACGAGGTCAGGAGTTCGAGACCAGCCTGGCCAAGATGGTGAAAGCCCGTCTCTACTAAAAATACAAAAATTAGCCAGGCGCGGTGGCGGGCCCCTGTAATCCCAGCTACTCGGGAGGCTGAGGCAGGAGAATCACTTGAACCTGGGAGGCAGAGGTTGCAGTGAGCTGAGATTGCACCACTGCACTCCAGCCTGGGCGACAGAGCGAGACACCATAAAAAAAAATAAAAAAAAATTAAAGAAAAAGTGTGATTGATGAGACAGCGACAGCAACAAGCCTCCATCATGGCCATTTTTTTCTCCATGTTCTTCATGAAAGCACCACTTTTGGTTTGCTTTGTAGTTTTTCTTAAATACAGAAGTCTGCCTCCCTCTCCATGAGGCTCCTTTGAACCCTGATGGAGATGACATATAATGATGGGCATCTAATATGTGACATTTTGGGGATCGTGAAAATGTCTTTCCACCCTCTCTGGTTATTAGTAGATACAGGGGGCTCTGAGGGAAGATTAGAGGCTCGAATCTGGGTCTTGAACGTTTCACATGTTTTTGCCCAGAGTAAAGGATACAGTGAAAGTAAAGGTATTTGACAAAAGGAGGCTGTAATTCATACTGTGAACCATGGGCCACATGGTTTTCATACTGTGGAAAGACCTGGAAAACTCTGAAGACAGCTCTAAAGATTTTTCATAATTAGAAATTAGTGGCTGGGTGCAGTGGCTCATGCCTGTAATCCCAGCACTTTGGGAGGTCAAGGCAGGCACACTGCCTGAGCCCAGGGGTTTGAGACCAGCCTGGCCGACATGGCGAGATCCCGCAGTGACAAAAACCACAACAATTAGCCAGGTGCAGTGCCACGCACCTGTAGTCCCAGCTACTTGGGAGGCTGAGGTGGGAGGATCACCTGAGCCTGGGAATTCGAGGCTGCAGTGAACCATGATTGCACCATTGCACTCCAGCCTGGGTGACAGAGTGACACCCTGTCTCAAAAAAAAAGAAAAAAGTAGAAGAAAGTAGAGAAATTCTTTGACCCCGAGGGCTGAGTAGAAACACCTGCTCTCCCTCTATCTAGTATGTGTTCCTTCTTACCCAGGCGTGGCTTTACAAAACTTGAGGACATAAAATAAAGATGGGGGAATCCAAGCACTTTTATAGAAACTTACAGAACCACTCAAATATAGAACTGGCAATTTTCTTTTGTGGCCATAAAATCTTTCTAAAATTTGATCCAACTTATGTAGAAGTCAGAAAATAGTTTGATTCAGTTAGTTAATTTTAACTGAGGGAAGCAAGAATCCCCTTTCAATTATTCTTATCCAGAATTCAGTAAAGGGGGGATTTTAATTAATTAGTTAATTTTAATTCTAGGACCAGGATAGCCTTAGCCTCCCTTTCAATCAGACCTGGCTCAGATCAGATCTGCCATGGGCATCCTCAGAAGATGATAATTACAATAACTACTAGATACCAAAATAAATGCCTTATGAGTATTTAAATTCTATTCTCATCACAATCCCACAAATTAACATTTCCTTTTTATAAATCAGAAAATTAGGATTCAAAGAGATTGAGCAATTTACCTGACGGTGTGGAATTGAACCTAAGAATGCTACTGTGAATCCAATAGCATTTCAGCAGAAATGGGAAATGGATTTGGGATCATTCTCAGACCAGACCCAGGAACATAAGCACTCATTTAAAGGGGACAGACTTGGCAAAGGGAGACTTTTTTTTCTGAGACGGAGTCTCGCTCTGTCACCCAGGCTTGAGTGCAGTGGCGCAATCTAGGCTCACTGCAAGCTCCGCCTCCCGGGTTTACTTACGCCATTCTCCTGCCTCAGCCTCCCAAGTAGCTGGGACTACAGGCGCCCCCGCCACCACACCTGGCTAATTTTTTTTTTTTTGTATTTTTAGTAGAGATGGGGTTTCACTGTGTTAGCCAGGATGGTCTCGAACTCCTGACCTCGTGATCCACCCAAATCAGCCTCCCAAAGTGGTGGGATTACAGGCGTGAGCCACCGTGCCTGGCCGGAAGGGAGACTTTTTGATATGCTGAGTGTAAGGCTGAGGTTTTGTAAAGGGACAGGGGACATAGCCTGGCCTCGTCCTTGTGGTTGATCTCCCCGACTCTCACAGCCAGTGGAGTCTCCCTGACTCTCACAGCCAACGGAGTTCAACATTTGCAAATAATCAACTGGCCTGGAAGTCAGGGGATTGTAACTTCCTAAAGCTGAATTGGGGCCCTGATGTTTAAAGGGTCCAGGTAGGGCAAGCATTGCGCTTCTCAAGTCTTGTGCAGCTAACCCCCACCTTCCACTGACGGAGCTCCCCAAGCCTGAACGCCCCCTTAGGATGTTTGCTCCAAGGCCAGCTGAGCTGAGCTAAGCAGCATCCTCTCTTGCTCTGCCTCTTATTGTCTCTGTATCTTTGGCTAAGTACATGACATCCAGAACTCACTTGCAGAGGGTGGGCAGGTGTGGGTCCTCTGTAGGAATCCTGCAGACTCTGTGTCATGGAATTGCCCAGTCCTGTGGTCTCCGTGGCCTCCTGAACTCACACGGATGTCACTAGTTATCATTCCTGTCTTCCTTGACCTTGACATGATTTTCCTCACTCCCTGCTCCTCGGGTCAATGCACACACCCCTCACCTATTTTTGACCCTGTCTCTTTGGAAAACAGCCACACAAGACATGAAGCTGAAGATAAACATTCCTCTCCCACATTCTCAGGGCGGTGTGTTCTCTCTCATCTTCTTGACTAATTGCTTGAGAATCTGGATGTGCCTGCTTCCCTGAGAGCATCCCAAGGACAGGGACTGAGGTTGGAGCCCAAACTCAGGCTTGTGTGTCCACCTCTAGTCCTGCTCCTGGAACAAAGGAAACCTTCCACGTTTGAATCAAAAGGCCTTCCACAATCAGGACCCGGACCACCCTGAGGTGACGAAAGTGGCTCCCCATGAGTTGACAAGCAACTTATACTCACACTTCAGCTCCAGCTTGATGAAATCTTCCTTTCCCATATTTTCAAGAAACACTCCCCAGGGGGTTAATGTTTTGAAGTAGAAAGAAATGTCAGCGCTAGTTTCCCCTTGGAAAGTAGAGAAGTGCAGGTAGGAGGATGGGTTTGGGAAAGAGGCGGCATTCCAATAATTCCCTGTGGGAAGAAAACAAAAAAATCAGGTTAACTCACACCCTGATCAGCCTAGTCATGTAACAGATACCCATTGCTTGAGTTTAATAAGTACCATTAGCAATAGTCATTATTTTCTCTCATTCTGTTGAACAACATTGGACCAAATCCTCACAAATATATTTTTGACTTTCCAAAAGTTATATGTGTGTCTATATAATATTCATTTACATATAAAGATATTTAAAGTATTAATATATACAATCTATATAAAATTAAATATTAATATAGAATTTCTATAAATTGTACAATAAAATATTTTATAATATTTATGATAAACAATATTTTATAATTATATAACAATAAAGATTGATATAGTTGGGGTTCCTACCAAGGAGTCCTATGGGACTCTAAGAAGTAAATGCCAATAGACACAACAATTGGGAGAAGCCCCTGGGGTTACTCTGTGGGTGGGTGGGGGCTGTTTTGAACTCCTGCATATGTACTGGTAGCTTTGGTCTGGTGCAAGCAGCATCTGAGATAAACCTCAGGATGACAAAGTAAGAACAAAGTTTTTGGTAGTTTGCTCTTGCTTTTCATCCACCTCTGCCTTGGAAGAGCCAGTGCTCACTCCTGTGTCAACGGCCACCCAGACACCTGGTGCAGGTGCTTCAGGAATACAACTGACGGAGCCTGGAGGAGGTGAGGAGCCGGGAACGAGGCAGAAGTGACCAGACTAGGCTAGGGCAGTTTCCTCACCTCTCCTGCGCCAAACTCTCAGAGGTGAGTTGCCTTCTCTTCCCTTCCTACTTCCTCCTGGGGACTGCAGGTGAGGCTCTGGCCTGTGGGATTGTTGTATAGTATGGGGATGAGGCAGTGAGCCCACCAAATGGCTCTCAGCCAGCCTCTGTCCTTGAGCTCTTGGAGAAGATGTGATTGTACCAGCTGCCTCTCCCCACTCATTGCCTGACAGAGCAGCCAGTGTTTCCAGGAGAAAAGCAGCTCGCAGGATGCAATAAAAACACCAAACTGCGTTACTCAGACTCCATTAGGACAGATGGACTAAGAATTTAATATGGGATCAAGAGTTGGCTCTCAACTTCATCTTCAGGGGAGAAATTCCTTTTTAATGTGCACATTTCTGAGTACACTTACTGTCACAGCTAAAGACTAAAATATATGGGTGTGATTTAAAGCAGTTACTAAAGCCTTGAGCTCTGATACTAAACTCCAAATGTATGCTTTTTAAAAAACACGGTATTTGCTATATCTTTTCTCCAAAAGGCACAATGAATCAACTAAGTGCACTCCATTAGTTTCTATTCATACACAAATGATATTTTTCCTTCCTTTTATGCAAATTATACACATATGCAATATTAAATTGAGCTACTATTTTCAAATAAAAGTTACTTTGTGTTGGTTCTGCCATGCTTAAGTCATAATTTTAAATTATGAAATATTAAAATATGGTCTTATTTAATTAATGCTGTTTGTTTTTGTTTTTAGAAATGTCTAGAATATAGCAACATCTAGATAAGTCCCCAGGCATGTTAAAAGATAAACTTAGGCATATTAAAATCTTAACATGTTTATTTGGACATTCAGTGATTCGTGAATTGGGCAGCACCAGAATTCAAGTTGTCTACTGGGGTGCGGGGTTGGAGAGAGAGAAATGTGTTTGTGGATGCAAGACAAAGAAACCGTTTGATTGGTTAATGTGGAAAGTCTTTAGTTAGAGGTTAGGTGGTGGTTTCTGATTGCTGATAAGCTTAGTTTCGTTTCAGTATTTACATTGAAGAGGATTTGGCTTGCTTCCCTAGGTATCTAGGGCTCTGAAGCTGTCTCAGCCAATGGCATTCCTATTAATTACTGTCGCAGGTAATACATAAACAGGGAACTAGTGCAAAATATGTTTGTAAATATCTTCATTAGGGTAAAAACTGTTCTTAATGTGTTCCTAATCTTAGTGCAGTCTTAAGCTTCTTCTTTTTTTTTTTTTTTAGACAGAGTCTCGCTCTGTGGCCCAGGATGGAGTGCAGTGGCACGATCTAGGCTCACTGCAACCTCCCCCTCCCAGGTGCAAGCGATTCTCCTGTCTCAGCCTCCTGAGTAGCTGGGATTACAGGCACACACCACCATGCCAGGCTAATTTTTGTATTTTTAGTAGAGACGGGGTTTCACCATATTGGTCAGGCTGGTCTCGAACTCCTGACCTCAAGTGATCCACCTGCCTCAGCCTCCCAAAGTGCTGCGATTACAGGCATGAGCCACCATGCTCGGCTGCTATTTTTTTTTTAAACAAAGTATAAAATCATAGATTTCAGTAGGAGAAAATAGGCAAATAGGTTGCTTTCTTCTTGGGGAGGAGAATATTGTATGATGTAGTGTAGGCTACTGGTAACAGGAACAGAAAGGCGCTTTGCAAAGCTCAAGTTGCTAGTTATCAAGGGTAAGCCTTCCTCCCCCCTCAACATCTGCCTTACTACACAGCAAGAGGCGTTCAGGTGCACCTCTGTGAGAAAACCTAAATCTACGCTCTCGCTCATCAGAGAGTCCTGAAGCTGGGAGGGAATAAAGATGAGGCCCAGGGCCAGAAGGATTCAGCTCATCCTAATTGGGTGAGAGCCCTTTAAGGACCCGAGAGCCTGCAGAGATCAAAGTCCCCAGCCAGACTTCAGCCTTAAGCAAAGCAATTCTGTCTCTTTAGGCTGTATCCCCAGGATACGAATGCAATTAACATTTTAAAATTTCAATCCAATCAAGTACCTTCTTATTTTCTGAGGTGGTGATGTATTAACAGAAGGGCAGTTGTCTAAAATGATTCTAGAAAAAGGAAAGCTAAAAGTAAAACATGTCAGTATTTATTTGAGGCCCAGCACTGGTTATTCAGACAGAAATATCCGCAGAGAGGAGAAAAGTAGTTCCATCAGTTATTCAAGTGTGATGAAATATCTCTATAGACCACAATTCCATTTATTCTAATTCTATGCTCACTAAGCAACTTCAATCTAATTTGATCTCTTGAATAGACTCATTCACGGGGAAGTCATGCCTTGTACAAATGGTTTTTCCCACTATCCTGGAAACATCTGGATTATCACATGATGCCCTTGGAGTTGTCAATTGTGAGTTATCTCAAATCTCTGGATGAGCTTATTAAATCCAGATTCTTCAGAAGCAACAGGGAGGACTCCACTCTGGATTAGACTGATGGTATCAAAGTAGGAGTGCGGCTCAGGAGGTGCCAAGGGTGATCACTGGGGCTCAGGCAGATGATGTTAGAACTTCTGCTTTTACTTATTTTAAAAATGTTATCCTTTAATATCGATTTTAGTTATACTTTATAATGTACACTATATAAATGCAGTGGCACATGGATGGGATTTGTAAGTAAACATGCTTAATGGGATGTGGACTTACAGGCTTTCAGTGAGTGTGGTACAAATAATAAATCATGGATGCTTCTGCTCCAGCCCATGGTCACCATCTCTGAGTCCTGTTCTGAGGAATCTGTTGCCCAATCTCTGGGATTTTTTTATTATAACAAGATTATATGCGTGCCTTTTCCAGTGCTGATAGCGCTTCTGGATGCAAAGAGTTATTATTGTTTGTTGATACTGCTCCCAACTGATCATAGACTCCATGAAAGCCGGCATGAAAACATTTCCTCTCAGTAATCTTCAGCCTCAGAATATAGTCACCATTCATAAATAATTATTCAATCAATACATAAGTAACTCATTGCCCCTCTCATTTATATCCATTTTCACTCCTTTTACAAAGTCCTCATGAGACAGAATGTTCTTTTTGGTAACCTGGGTGTTAAAGATGCTAAATAAATATAAATAAAAACTAATGCTGCTTTAGCACCTACTGATAACTGGATACTGCTTCCACTAGCACACCATAATTCTCCTTATCCATGGCTTTATTTCTATAACTCCCTATAGACTTCATTGAACAATACCATGCATTTGCAAGACTGATGGTATCATAACCTTAAGGTTATTGAAATCACTGCAATTTGTACTTGCTACCAAGGTCAGTGCTATGGAGGTAAAGTGACAATGGGTGAGAATGCCAAGCTGGGAATAAGAGATTCACTATATGGCAAAGAGAGTGCCAAAGGAGGTGGCAGGGACCAGGCCAGCACGGATAAGTGGAGGAGGCAAGGCTGGAAACTGAGAGGGAAGATATGAAAGATGTGAGACAGAACAGAAATTAGTGTCTGAGACTGGAAGGGTCAGTCAACAGTAACAGAATAATGAGGCAGGTAGAGAGGGACTGGAGACCCAGCCCGGGGCTGGAGTCAAAAGCTTTACAGAATGATCGAGATGACACTGAAGGCTCTGCAGCTTGGAAGTGAGTCAATCACATGAGAAGCTTTGTGACTGCATGTTAGGCAAGGCCAGGGCTCATCACGTGTGGCAAGAGGAACCAGGGAGGCACCTCTAGCTAGTGCAGGAGAGCGGGGCTGAGCCTGCAAAGCAGGCTTGCTGGTCTCCATCATCACATCATTTTAAACCCCAATTAAGCATCAATAGAAAATGCACTATCATATCTTCACACAAATTTCATAGCAGCCACTTACTTGAATCCGACCAGTGATTATTTGGTATTGGATATGGTTTAAATCTGTGTTCCCACCCAAATCTCATGTCTAATTGTAACCCCCAATGTTGTGGGGCCTGGTGGGAGGTGATTGGATCCTGGGGGCGGTTTCTCATGAATAGTTTAGCACCATTGCCCTTGGTGCTGTCTTTGTGATAGTGATTGAGTGCTTATGAGATGTGGTTGTTTAAAGTGTGCAGCACCTTCCCTTCTCTCTCTTGCTCCTGCTCCATCCACGGGGTATGTGTACATCCCCTTTGCCTTCTGCCATGATTGTAAGTTTCCTGAGGCCTCCCAAGAAGCGGAGCAGATGCCAGCATCATGCTTCCTGTACAGCCTGCGGGAACTGTGAACCAATTAAACCTCTTTTCTTTATAAATTACCCAGTCTCAGGTATTTTTTTACAGCAGTGCAAGAACAGACTAAGATAGTATAGGATTCCAACTTCAAGCTTTCTGAGCACATTTTCTGATGGACAGCATTTCATTTTCAACCTAATTTTTGTTTCTAACAAAGTATTACATGTACATAGTTATAAAAGTCTAGTGGTGCTAGGACTAAAGCAAAAAGCAGTTCCCTGCTTCCCGCCCCTTCCCAATTCCTTAGAGACACCTTCTCACACTTTTAACTCTTTCAATTAAACAGCTGTATTTTTTTTTAAAAAAAAAAACCTCTGGAGCTACTTATTGATTTATACCTTTTAGATATTCTCTACTGATTTTCCTGAATATAAGATGAGAATTTAGCACTTTTATAAGCCTGCTTCCCCAGCCCCTTTCTCTATATTCTCCCCAAATAGCTAAATCACAGATTTTTGGTTATATTGAAATTCAAGCTTGGCATGGTGCCTCACACCTGTAATTGCAGTGACTGGGGAGGCTGAAGTGGGAGGATTGCTTGAGGCCAGGAGTTCAAGACCAGCCTGGGCAACACAGTGAGATCCTGTCTCTGAAAAAAAATAGCTGTGTAGTTCTAGCTACTTGGGTGGCTGAAGCAGGAGGATCCCTTGTGCTCAGGAGTTCGAGGTTGCAGTGAATTGTGATCATGTCACTGCATTTCAACCTGGGCAACAGTAAGACACTATAATAATAATAATAATAATAATAATAATACTAAAATTTAGCACAGTATTCATATTTTAGGACTATGTAATATTATTTAAAAGCCAACCAATAAAATCTACTTGTATTTTCTTTAAATTGTATTTTCTTGCATTTTGTTGTATGTAATTGTATTTTCTTATATTTTTGTTTGTTGCAATTGTATTTTCTTGTATTTAGTTTCTTTAAAATCCATAATTATTTTTTTCATTTGCTTATTTTTCTATGTATCTGCCACGAATTCTCTCCAGATTCTCTAACACAGCAGTAAAACTCTTCTCAAACATTTTCCAACATTGCACACATCAGGCCATCTGCAGTCACGTTTTTGTCCCCTGGAGGCATCTTCTATGGCTCTCTTTCCTCTGTTCCCACCTGGACGGGGTCTTCTCAGGGTTCCTGCACAGCCCTTGTCCTGGGACCTCCCTCTGCCATTAGTGCAGGGACTTCCTTTTGCCACACTTTGGTATTACATCCCCAAGTTTCAGGATCTCATGACATCCACTTCCTAGGTCTACACTCTCATTTTCCTGAAACACATTCTCAGGTAGCTCCTTGAGAAAAGAGATACTCGAGGTTAACTTTCTAAACCCATGTTCCTCTGATGAGTCATTATTCTACTTTCGCACTTAATTGAGAAACTCCAGAAAGAAAATTGTCAGGCTGTCAGGGCTGCTACCGGGAAAGCAACTGCTTTCTGTTTACGAAGCCTTATATGCAACCTACATTTTTTTCCTTTCTGGAAACTTTCAGGATCTTTTCTTTAACTCTTTTAATTGGAACTTCATGATTGCCTTGATATAGATTTTTCTCCCATATGAGGTCTGAGACTTTAATAATTTCTCTGATCCCTTTTCTCAAACACCTATTTATTTTAGATTTTTTTTTTTCTAATTTTGTTCCACATTTTGATCTTTTTCCTTTGTGTTCTACTTCTTTGGAAATTTCCTCAGCTTTATTTTCAATACTGTCATTGTGTTTTAATTTCAGCTATCATATTTTAAATTTCCAAGTATTATTTCTCGTTCTCTGATAGTCCCCTTTTTCATAGCACCCCATTCTAATTTTTTTGGAGGCAATATCTCAATATCTTCTCTTGTCTCTCTGAGAATATTAATTTAATTATCAAAAGTTTTCTTCTGCTTTCTCTGTCGCCTCTGTTTCTTCCCAGACCTCCTGCCACCCACCCCTACCCTGGATTGTGAGTTTGGGGGTCCCTTCTTTTATGACATCTCTGACATTATCCTACATAGTTGGTGACTCTCACCTGTCTGTTTATACCGAACAGTCAAGTACTAGACAGCTGACTGCAATCTGGAGTGTGTGTGTCTGGGATGGTGGTGGATTTGATGTTTGGGCTTCATGATCACATGGAGAGTCCCCTGTCCCATTGAAGGGACTCCGAATGTCAGTATCTGTGACTTGTTTTGGTCACTGAATGTTCAATATCTTGAGAGAAGAATCCGCTACTTTCCTCATGAGGAATATATGTCTGTTGCTCAGTGCTTGGGAAGCTGACAGGAAGAAGGCTAAGGAGAGGGGTCAACCTTATTAAGTCAATTTCCTCTGTTTTTATTAAGGAGCTTTACCCCCATTTTTTGGTGCCTGGTGTCTGGAGTGTGAACCCCCACTTCCTGCATGGGTAGAGTAGGACAGTCACTGGCAGGGTCATAGCGGGGAGCTGGGGTGTGACTGACCCTCACATAGACGTTCCGCCATTCCTCCGGCTCTGAGCCCGGCCCTTGCCTGCCTCCGGTTCCTGGGCCTCTTGGAGCTCCACAGCTTGCTTCCCACCTGCCTGTCAACAGCCTGGACTTACAGATTTTCCTTTACTGCCAGTAGTGAAGTAACTGAACTTGTGATGTGCTGAAGTTCTTTCGTGGAGAATGAAGAGAAGGAGGTAACAGACTGAAGTCACAGTCCACCTGTGGGTCCAGCAAGAGCCCTAGAAGCATTGGCGCGGGTGGTACTACCAGGATGAGGTGGTGGGGGGTGGGAGTGATGACAGGAAGTGAGTCCCTGGGCTGCTCTGGGCTGTCACCTGGTGAAGCTTCCCTGCACTGTTTCCGTGTGCAGGCTGAGGAAGCCGACCTCCAGGTTCCCATTCTGGCTCTACCATCTCCACCTACTGGGCAACGTGAGGCAGATCATTTGGCCTTCCTAAATCCTCATGTGTACAGTGGAATTGTGGCAGACCAGGTCTTACTAATGCAGGCCTCCATAACAACTGTTTCAGCACTGACTGAATGGTTAAGTTAAATATTAAAAGCTGAAAGAAGCAGTGCCCTTATACAAAGGTTAGGATGTAACAAAAGCCCACCGAGAGTTTGCCTAGGCCTTTTCTGGACCTTGAAACATGGCAAGATAATGAAGGAATTCTTAACAGGACCTGTTTAGGATTAAACAAGTTTCATTGGGGGTCTGAAGAAACTCCCCAGGCCTCCACAAACAAGTTTAATGGGGGTCTGAAGGAACTCCCCAAACCTCCATGATTTAGCAGGAGACAAGGGTCATTAGTCCAGCATCTGAACCCATTTAGATTAAGTAAATTTACTGAGGCTCCAGAGGAAGGTCTTCAGGACTCAGATCTTAGTTATAAATTAAAAGAAGTGAGTCACTTATGTCTTTAGATAAATGCACACTTACTCATAGACATATAGCTTACAAGGTATGTAAGCTCTGGAAAACTTTGTAAGTTTGAGTTGATCTGGCGATAATTTCCAGGTGTTCTCCCTGTACCCAGTTACAGAAATAGAATCTCAACGCCTGTAATCCCAGCACTTTGGGAGGCCAAGGCGGGCAGATCACCTGAGGTCGGGAGTTTGAAACCAGCCTGACCAACATGGAGAAACCCTGTCTCTACTAAAAATACAAAGTTAGCCAGGCATGATGGTGCATGCCTGTAATCCCAGCTACTTGGGAGGCTGAGGCAGGAGAATCACTTGAACCTGGGAAGCGGAGGTTGCGGTGAGCCGAGATCGCACCATTGTACTCCAGCCTGGGCAACAAGAGCGAAACTCCATCTCAAACAAAACAAAACAAAACAAAACAAAACAAAACAAAACAAAACAAAACACCTCTCTTCTTTCCCAGTTCATCTGCATCTCTTATTGGGTGGTGAGAATAAGCAGCTCGACCCTATTTGGTCCAGGAACAGAATAACAGTGGAACCTCTTTTATAGGGTATGGTAAGAATCTCAGGAGATAACCCATGAAATACATTTAGCAGAGTGCTAGGCACAAAACAAAAGATCAACAAATGTGATTACTTACTACTACACTGATATTCTTTAATTTCACTTACAGTCAGCCTGTGCAAGGGCTTGGCCAAGGAATGGGGAAAGATGGAAGAGGAGCCTCTTTTCCTTCAATGTGTGAACAGTAAGACGACAAACCCTGAGGCTTTTCCCCTGAGCCTGATTTACCACAGGTACTAATGCTTTTTTAGAAATCATAAATTGACAATGTATAATTGTATAAATTCATGGGGTACAAAGTGATGTTATGATTTATGAATATGAAGTGAAATAATTAAATCAAGGTACTTAACATATCCATCACCTCAAATACTTAACATTTTGGGGGATAAGAACATTTGAAATTCATCCTTAGCAATTGTGAAATATACATATTCTATTACTAACTACATTCACCAAGCTGTGCAATACAACTTAACCAACCAAGCATGTTCCTCCTAACTGCACTCTTTGACCATCTCCCCATTCCCTGCACCTTCCAGCCTCTGTACCCACCATCTTCCTCTCTGCTTCTCTGAGTCTGTTGTTTTAGATTCCACTCATGCATGAGAGCTTGCAGTATTTGTTTTCGGTGCCTGGCTTATTTCACAGAGCATTATGTCCTCCAGTTCCAACCACGGGGAGCAGCAAACCCCAGGATTGACAGCTAAGCCTGCAGCGGTCACTTCCTCAGCTGGTTTACTCCTCTCAACCTCACCCATGTCTGCCCTTTTGTCCTCGTCATCTCTTTCCTTCCTCTGCTCCCTCACTAGCTTCCAAAACTCTGTACTCCCTATCTCTTCATCTCCACTGATTTTTTTTTTTTTAATTTTTTGGTAATTCCATTCAGGACACATGAATCAGAGCTATCATCCTTGAGCACCAGCCCTGTGTTACGCTTTGTAGAGTAGCCATTAAGTAAAAATCTGATGAAAGGAGGAGGGACCTGACGACTAAGAAGGTAGAGTTACCCAAGCAATGGACATGATTGCATTTGAACAAATGTTTACGGGAGATAACTGCAGAGTAGCAGAGACAGGTGATGAGAAGTAGAGGCCCTGCCTGGTGTGCCTGCCCCTGCCCTGTCTCCTCCCTCCCCAGAGGGGAGATGGGGAATTAGGAAGGGGGAAGAGATGGTGGCTAGAAGAGTCTGCGTTTGGCTCGCATGGAGAAGACTGCGTGAAGGCACTCTGGGCTGCAGTTTGGTGAGGAGTGTCGCTGCCAGGCTGGCTCCAGTGGCCAATGGTCTTGTCATTCCCCTCCCAGATTGAGTGATTTCCTCAGGTCACCAAATGGCTCACACTGGGGCTGCACCTAGAAGAATATCTATAGCTTCTGCTGTAAATGGCAAACACCTTCCAATGTAAATAGCAGCTCTGAAGAGACTAATTACTCTGAAAATTATTAGTGACCCAAATGTTAGAGATTTGCAGATTCTCTGAGTTATGCAAAGGGCCTTCTATTGTTTCCTGTGAGCTGGGGACTGTGGACAACAATCAACCAGATGGCTTCATTTGCATGCAAATTTGAGTCTATTTGTCAAGATTTCCTTACGGGAGAAAAAAATTACTTCCTTAATTAAACCTTTTTTGTACATTCAGGTTAGGTAAGAGGAGCTTTGTTCAGCTCTAGGCCTCATTTTATTGGGCAAGCTTCACTTAGAATGAAGGGCTGCAAGTTATTAATAAAATGCTGTCCATGGGTTTGAGTCAGCCACTCTCTCTGCAGCATTTCTTCCCGTCCAGCAAGCCTGTTTCACGGCTGCAACACAAAATGATCAGAGGACAAGTTTGCGGGAGGAGTCAACAACATAAATATTTCACCCTGTGTGTCTCTGTGATTCGGGTCCTTTGGGCTAGAATGGGGATGGGGTCCCACAGAGAAAAAGAATATGCTGGTGAAAGCAGTTGAGGTGCTTCCTGCACTGCTGTGAGCTGACCTATAGCCAGGTTCTGGGGCTTGTGGTAAAACGGGCTTGTTCCTAGTCATGGAAATTCTTACATGTCAATCCCATTATTAGTGCATTTAAATATAAAGGGTACTTATGAGGTAATTTCGGTACATTTAAAATGTTTGAAACAGTTGTGTGTTTCACATGTTTGGAGGGTGGGAACAAGTCTAAGATTTTTTTATGAAGCTCTTCAGGCTCTCCACATTAGGGCTCTACAATTTCCCACTTTTCATTTGGGGGGCTATTATTTATGCCTGAGTAATCCTAGGTCTACCGGGGCTCAAAGTTAATAACTAGAAGCGGAGACGTGAATAGCTAGGTGTGTCATGGGAACTTGTGGCCTTCCTGTCCTCACTCCAATTTCTGTCCTGGGTAAGCCCTAAAGGTTGCTATGTGATTGATTCCAGAAAGCGGGGAATAACAAGACTGAATCTTTTACACCCTGGCAAAGAGGGGAAGAAGATTTAGCAAGAAACAAAGTTTTGATTTAGTAAAAATAAGACTATGTAGTATTTTTTGCATGTAGAGGTTGTAAAACAAATTGATGTCTGCTTCCTGTAGGTTAAGGAGTAGACTATCAGGCTGGCCATAGTGGCTCAGGTCTATAATCCCAGCACTTTGGGAGGCTGAAGCCGGTGGATTGCTTGAGCCCAGGAGTTTGAGACCAGCCTGGGCGACATAGTGAGACCTCGTCTCTATTTATTAGGAAAAAAAAATATGTATATATATATATATATATATATATATCTCAAAGTGTGCAGTACACTGAAGTGCCATGGGGGTGGGGGTGACTCTGGGGAATGACAACTTCAAAATGTTCCTGTGTCCCAGGGATGAATATTTATGCTTTTTTTCTTTTCCTGAGTAATTTTCACCCATTTCATGATTTCAAGTACTAATCATATGTTAACGATTCCCAAATTTGTGCATAAGTTAGATCTTCAGTATAAATCATCAAGGTAAAGCTGTCCAGTAAGAAATGCCTATTTTAGCCTTAAACTCATAGTAGAGATCTAACTCTAAATATCTGAAAGCAAGCATTTTTCTTCCAAATTAACTATATCCACAGTATTCTCCATCTCAGAAGGTAGAGCTTTTCCCACTCTGCCATTCAAGGCAGGAACCTGGGAGCCCTTCCTTAGCATCCAGTCAATCCCCAAGGCCTGATAGCCACACCTTCTAAATAGTCTGTGCTGTGTCTCCTCCTCTCCATTCCTTCTGCTGCCTTGGCTCTGCATTGTCTCTTGCCTGGATGTGGCAGCAGCCTCCTAACTTGGTTCTGTTCCTGCTGCTGCTCATCTCAAATTCATCCTTGATAAAGCCAACAGAGAAATCCATCTAAAATGCAAAACAAGGCCGGGCATGGTGGCACATGCCTGTAATCCCAGCACTTTGGGAGGCCGAGGTGGGTGGATCACCTGAGGTCAGGAGTTCAAGACGAGCCTGGCCAACATGGTGAAACCCTGTCTCTACTAAAAATACAAAAATTAGCTGAGTGTGGTGGCAGGTGCCTGTAGTCCCAGCTACTTGGGAGATGAGGCAGGAGAATCACTTGAACCTGGGAGGTGGAGGTTGTGGTGAGCCAAGAGTGTGCCATTGCGCTCCAGCCTGGGCAACAGAGCAAGACTCCATCACAAAAAAATAAAAAAAAAAAATAAAAAATAAAATAAAATGCAAAACCGACCATTTCACTCTCATGCATCAAATCCCAACGGTTCCAAATAGCTTGCAGAATATATAGTATTGCAAGCTCGGTGACATGGCATAGTAAGCATAGGCCTGCTTTGCCAGCCTTATCTCTTTCTACTCCTAGCCTCAGAATGTATATTTCAGCAACATGCAGCTACCATTGTTCCCACCATGACAATGGTGTGTGTGGATTCCAGCTTTATTTGCACTGTTTCCTCTTTTTGGATTGTCTTTTTCTACAACATCCTCCCCTTCTCTCTCTCAGTTCATATACCACATTGGACTTGATTTCTACTCATTCTTTAAGACTCAGTTCAGATGCCACCTCCTCCAGACAGTCTTTCTGACGTATCCCCGGACTGGGCATGGTACTATTTCCCTGTCCTCCTAGGATATCTTGTATCTATCATTGCATCTAACTTGTTATTATAATTACTTTCATGTGTTCCTCTCCTCTGCTAGGCTGCAAATTTCAGAGAGCAGAGATTGTGCTTTCTATATATTTCTAACTGTAATATCTAGCTTGACACACAGGTATTCAATATGTGTTTCTTGAATAAATGAAAATAGTGTGTTTTTTTTAATAAATTTGAACCATGGGAATTCCACTACCAGTTATTATCATTGCTTGACATGACCATCTGCAAAGCCTACTTTTGACAGTTTCAGAATTGAAGAGCTATTTAACCCATATGGACAGAAGCTTTTCTAGGTTTGGCATTATTTGTTTGGATGTTTGGACACACTCAGCATTTCCCTTCTCAGATATCTGATATGCTAGTCATCTTCACCGGGTCCTCAGGTGGTACTGACAATGATGGGTGACAATGGTTCTGAGAACTGCCAGCCCTGTGAACGTCACTTCTGTCTTTATTGTATCTCCTTTTGGCATCTAATTTCTCTTACCTCCATCTCTCTTCATATAATTGGAATTCATGATCTAATAGCATTAAGTTTCCATTTTATCATCTGCCCTGTTGTAATGAAGGATGGTCATAGCTGAGCTGTAAAAAGACTGAGCTGCATTTAGCTACACTCCACCACTGTGCAGAGCAGGAGTGCTGTAATGCCAGGCAGCCTTTATGTGTTGATAGACTACAAAACCTCCAGAGCCTCACATCCATAGAAAAACAGGTTTTATATCAAATCCATCAGGTGAGTAAAATGTGGAAAAAAGCCACCCATTTCAGCAGAATGACGGATGTGAAACTGGGAAACTGCTCTATACCCAGGGTAATGGGTTGATATGATCCATACGATTACGTTACACAAATCAAAGTTTCCTTTTTGTGCTCTTTTCATTACAGGAAATAAAAAGATTCACATGTCCTATTAATAGAACCATGATTTTCCTGCTGAAAACAGTAACAGAGTCCACATGTCTCAGGGGAGAGCAGGATCAGTAAAGCATCAAGATAACCCATAGTGCAAAGAAAGAGAGACGAGGAAATGAATTCAGTCTTCTAAGACCTCAGTTTCTTTATTTGTAAATTAGAAAAATAATTCTTTCTTCACAGGGTTTGTGATGATTTAAAGCAATAACATCATACAGAAGCATTTTGAAATACCAAAGAACTATAAAGGCCAAAAAATCTTGCTGATATATTTTAATAATAATAGAAAAATAACAAAGACTTCTTTGTAGGCAGGGGTGAGATAATTGGTTTGGATTTTTACAAAATGTGCTGCAGTTTCCTTAGAATTCATATATCCTCAAGAAGAAGGAAATACTATTGAAAGAAAGCCTGCAAACAAATTCCATTCAACTGCTAAGTGAAAATAATTTCTGATATAAAAATAAATAGTGCATCCAAACGGAAATGAATGCTCTGATTTTAAGGATAAAAAGAACACATCTGAGAGCGAGAACGATTCTGTTTTGCAACTGGTGGCCTTTGTTGCTGTTTTTAGTGTGAAGCATTGGAGCTTAGACACACTGTGCTTTGCTCGTAATCATCCTGAGGTGAGGATTGAAAATGGAATTCACATTGATGACACAGGACATATATGAGTCTATATTAAGACTAACAGAAGTTTTACAACTTTGTGTTACATAATTAAAATAAATATAATGTGAATGAAGTAATATCCAGTATGCAGATTTAGAACAGTTTTAATTTCAAAGAAATCTGAGAATTTGTATCAGGGAAAGACAGACTGCATAAGTGGTGCCTGGAATAATGAACAGTGTGTTCACCAGAAGTTGCTGCTGCGTGGATGATGTGAAAGGAGACCCCCAAAATTACTAAGCCAAAGGGAAAAGTCAAGCTGGGTACTGCTTAGGGCAAACCTGCCTCCACTGTATTCCTAAAAACGATAGCTACTAAGATAAAAAAAAAAAAAAAGCTACATACCTCCCTCACAAGGAATATCCTTGTGGACAAAGGACAGACACAACTCAAAATCACTCCTCTGCTCACTGAGATAAACGCATACCTGTTTGCCTCCTTTGGAAAGGCTAATCAGAAACTCAAAAGAATGCAAGCATTTGTCTCTTACCTACCTATGACCTGGAAGCCCCCTCCCCATTTCGAGTTGTCCTGCCTTTCTGGACAGAACCAATGTATATCTTACATATGTTGATTGATGTCTCATGTCTCCCTAAAATGTATAAAACCAAGCTATGCCCTGACCACCTTGGGCACATGTCATCAGGACCTCCTGAGGCTGTGTCATGGGCCCGCAACCTTAACTTTGGCAAAATAAACTTCCTAAATTGACTGAGACCTGTCTTGGATATTTGGGGTTCAACAATGGTTACCACAGCACTACAGGCCCCAAAGCTATATGCAAACTGCACTGAGGGTCTGGCTGGGCCACAACATAAAAGATTTTCACTGCACGAAGAGGTACTGCTGCAATCCAAAATGGCGGCACTTCCTTCTACATTTATTGAGCAGAATGTGGTACAAAAGTACGTGCTTGGATAATCAAATATTAAATAAGTTATTACAATAACATTTAGTATGGCATGCCAATTTGGGATTTCACTTACATTTCCCGCTTCAATATTTCAAGTTGTAAAATTGAGGTTTTGCATTCAACCCAGCAATCCCATTACTGGGTATATATCCAAAGGCGTAGAAATCTTTGTATTATAAAGACACCTGCACACAAATGTGCATCACAGGACTATTCACAACAGCAATGACATGGAATCAACCTAAATGTCCATCAGTAGCAGACTGGATAAAGAAAATGTGGTACATATACACCATGGAATACTATGCAGCCATAAAAAAGAATGAGATCATGTCTTTTGAGGGAACATGCATGGGGCTGAAGGCCATCATCCCCAGCAAACTGACACAGAAAATCAAATACCACATGTTCTCACTTATAAGTGGGAGTTAAATGATGAGAACACAGGGACACAAAGAAGGAAACAACAGACCCAGGGGCCTACTTGAGGGTGGAGGCTGGAAGAAGGGAGAGGAGCAGAAAAAATAACTATTGGGTATTAGGCTTAGTACCTGGGTGACAAAATAATCTGTACAACAACCCCCCGTCACACGAGTTTAACTATATAACAAACCTGCACCTGTACCCCTGAACCTAAAATAAAAGTTAGAAAAAATAGAAGTTTTGGTCCTCTTTTTTTGCCTTAGACATAATTGATAGCAATGGGGAAGACTGCATGTTCAGAATCTGGCTGTTTGAGAATCTTAATATTTTTAAAAGTGAATTTAAATGATAACAAAAAGCAAAGATTATAGCTTCCCCTGCCATAGCATGGTGCTGTGGGTTACGCTAATCTGAAACTGAGTAGATGGTGGCATACTCTGGGTTTTGAAAGCAATTCTCTCCAACAGTCTGACAGCCACCCAGAGCACAGCAGCTTTGAAACATGTTGCATTCTGACCTTTTCCCAGTCTAGGGGCTCTGGACGAAGAACAAGGGCTCTAAAATTAAGATTGGAAGATGCACAAACAAAGCACTGAATGGATTCCAAGGGAACCAATCTCACATTTCACTTCTGCAGAACTTTATGGGAAGTTTATGGGGATTTATTGTTTCAAGAACAGAAGGACATTTACCTACAGATGCAGGGGAATAAATTTCAAGTGCATTTAGTACTGGAGAATGGTCGCTTTATTGCAGATTTCAATCCACTTGGTTTTCTCCTTAATCTTTTACCTTCTACCTCAAGTAGAACACCACACACACACACACACACACACACACACACACACACACACACTGAACTTTTTAGTTTTGTGCTTCCATGGTGTGAGTGATTTGTTTGTTTGTTTTTTAATTTTATTATTATAATACTTCAAGTTTTAGAGTACATGTGTACAATGTTCAGGTTAGTTACATATGTATACATGTGCCATGCTGGTGTGCTGCACCCATGAACTCGTCATTTAGCATTAGGTATTACTCCTAATGCTATCCCTCCCCCCTCCCCCCACCCCACAACAGTCCCCGGTGTGTGATGTTCCCTTTCCTGTGTCCATGTGTTCTCATTGTTCAATTCCCACCTATGAGTGAGAACATGCGGTGGTGTTTGGTTTTTAGTCCTTGCAATAGTTTGCTGAGAATGATGGTTTCCAGTTTCATCCATGTCCCTACAAAGGACATGAACTCTTCATTTTTTATGACTGCATAGTATTCCATGGTGTATATGTGCCACATTTTCTTAATCCAGTCTATCATTGTTGGACATTTAGGTTGGTTCCAAGTCTTTGCTGTTGTGAATAGTGCCGCTATAAACATACGTGTGCATGTGTCTTTATAGCAGCATGATTTATAATCCTTTGGGTATATAAATGTTTATAAAGAGTTTCAAATAGCAAAAAATGGAAGTAACCACAATGTATACATTTATTACTGTATGTATTTGAAGAAACATGCATTCATTTGGACAAAAAATGTGACATAATGTGGCATAAACCATAAAATCGATCTATGTAAATTGTCCATTGTATGTTGTTAAGGGACAAGCTATTTTCAGAATAAAATGTATATCACAGCTCCATTTTATTATAGTAATATTAGGTTGGTGCAAAAGTAATTGCAGTTTTTTTGCACAAACCTATTAAGTATGTGTGCATTGTTTATGTGCCTGATACAAAGATATGTGTATATACCCCACATATATAATATGCACATACACGCATATGCATACATGCATCTGTATGTGTGTGTATTTGCTTAAACTCAGAATAAAGGACTAATGTCTAGAAGCCTTCACACACAGCTTTAATGGTGGTCACCTTTGTGGATGGTAATGGAAAGGATTCACACTGGGAAGGACCTAGGTGTTTCGTTCATTGATTTATTTGTTCTGTAGGAGTTTAGACAGAACAAAAGGAAAAGGAAAGAGGAAGGAGAAGGAAAGACAAGAGTCCAACAAGTCTTCAAAAGAGGGAGGAGCGTGGCCGGGCGCGGTGTCTCACACCTGTAATCCCAGCACTTTGGGAGGCTGAGGCGAGTGGATCATGAGGGAAGGAGTTCAAGACCAGCCTGGCCAAGATGGTGAAACCCCGTCTCTACTAAAAATACAAAAATTAGCCAGGCATGGTGGCATATGTCTGTAATCCCAGCTATTCAGAAGGCTGAGGCAGAGAATTGCTTAAACCCAGGAGGCAGAGGTTGCAGTGACCCAAGACTGTGACATTGCACTCAAGTCTGGGTGACAGAGTGAGACTCCGTCTCAAAAAAAAAAAAAAAAAAAAAACCAAAAAAAAAAAAGGAGGGAGGAGCAAGGAGGAGCTCAGGACCTGACAGGGATGGGAGGGGCAGGGTAGAGAAGCGAGGGCCCTGGGAATGGCTGAAAGAATTCAAGAGTGCTGTGTGCTATGCTAGGAACTAACTGGTTTTTGATGCTCCTCATGAGATACAAACGGAAGTTAGACCCTTTTCATTACTTTTGTTTATTGGACTGTGATTTTGAGGAGAAAGTCCATCCTGGAACTACGCAGATGAGGGTAGAGAAGACCTCATCCTAGACCAACACTGCAGCCATTGGGGGAAAAGGGGACCTTCTCATTTATACTGAGGAAGAGTAAGTTTCCTGAGGTTGTACCATCCACAAGTGAGGCCTGGGTGCTGCTGAGGTGTTCCACACTACAACTGCCCATATCCAACACACACACACACACACACACACACACACACACACACAATTGCAATGCTTTTTTCTTGCAAGGAATTCTCACTGGCCATAGCAAATTTTTCTTCTCCAATCCTTATTCCATTAACATTCTAAATTCATGGAGTTATTAATAAATGTAGCTAAAATCTATGATAATGGCATTATTAATAAATAGTAGCTCAGACCCTTCCCATGTTCTAAGCAGTATTTCAACACAGGTTTTATCTCAATTAATTCTCACTCAAGTGCTGTTATTATGTCCACTTTTCATGTGGGGAAACTGAGGCACGGAAAGTTTAATGTGAACACTCGGTTCTATTTTTACACACCTGGGTTTCGTCGCTTCCACAATAGTGCTCTTTCCACACACAAAAGAATGCAGCTACTCTTTTTTATAAAGCAATTTCTTCCTTCCTCTCACTGTCCCCGGCTGTTCTCGTAAATAGAGCATGAGCTCTTAAGACATTCCTAGGGGACAGATGGCCAATAAACACTGGATGTTGATGCGGCTGTGTCATCCTGAGCCTTTTATTCTGGGCTTCCCTGGCACCTGAAACAGATGCTACTTTATCCTTCTCTTCAAAGTTCAGCTAAAAGAGATTCAAAAGAAGATTTTTCTGTAAGATTCAGAAAGCCTGATCTAAGGTCACCCTCAGCCATATTTTGTCTCATATGTTTACTGAGAACCTACTCTATGGCATTCATAGCTCTGGACTTCATGGAATACATAGCACGTAAAGACCTTATATTTATTTTAATGAAAATTTAAAAAATTTTTTTAAAGAGATGGGGTCTATCTTACCTAGGCTGGACTCAAACTCCTGGGCTCAAGTGATCCTCCTTGCTCAGCCTCCTGAGTTGCTGGAACTATGATGCACACCACTGTGCCCAGCTAGGACCTCCTTATATTTTGTCTCTGCCTCTGAAATCATCCAATTCTATTCTCTCACTTGCTTATTAGGCTCCAGTCACACAAGCATGCTTTTTTTTTTTTTTTTTTTTTTTTTCTGAGACAGAGTCTCGCTCTGTCACCAAGCTGGAGTGCAGTGGCGTGATCTTGGCTCAAAGCAACCTCTGCCTCCTGGATTCAAGCGATTCTCCTGCCTCAGCCTCCCGAGTAGCTGGGACTACAGGCGTGTGCCACCACACTCAGCTAATTTTTGTATTTTTAGTAGAGGTGGGGTTTCACCATGTTTGCCAGGATGGTCTCGATCTCCTGACCTCATGATCTGCCCTCCTCAGCCTCCCAAAGTGCTGGGACTACAGGCGTGAGCCACTGCGCCCAGCCTCTTTTCTTTAAAGTACCAAGCTTGTTCCAGCTTCAGAACATGTTTTCTGCCCAGAACACTTCCCACATACCACTGCAGGGCTGTCTTTTTCCCATCGTTTAGAACTCAGTCACCAACTTGAACCACTGCCACCTACTCAAAGAAGTGGTAAATTCAATCTAGTCATCTTTGGTCATTCTCTATCCATGTAATTTTTATAGCATGTATCACTACCTAAAATACCTGTTTTAAAAATTTATGTACTGCTTGCTTATCCTGACCTAGGATAAAAAGTGATATATACAATCACTTTGCCTATTTTGTTCTTTGCTCTGTTTTTGACACCTTGCTGGGCACATAGTAGGTGCTTACCGAACGTCACTGAATTAGTCAAACATACCACCTTGTCTCCACCAGTTTGAGAGCTGTGGGTTATGCACTCTAACAGCCGAGGAGGGCTTCAAAAGACCGCTATCCACATGGAGACAGAGTTACTGCTTGATGAAATCAAGCCTTGTTATCACATCAGTAATATTTGTTGAAGTTATTTAGAAAGAGTAGCTTCCAGCTACTCAGGAGGCTGAGGCAGGAGATTGGTGTGAACCCGGGAGGCAGAGCTTGCAGTGAGCCAAGATCGCGCCACTGCACTCCAGCCTGGGCGACAGAGCAAGACTCCGTGCCCCGCCCCCCCAAAAAAGAGTAGCTTAAAAATGATATCATGTGACAAACTACTCAACATATTACTAACTCTTTATTCCAAAGTCCCTGATTTATCTTGTCAAACTATTTAATTTTTTTATTTTTATTTTTATTTTTTATGGTTTTTTTTTTTTTTTTTTTTTTACAAATGACACGAGCTGAATTTAAACAACACATTTTCTGGTTGCATGGGACACATGGAAAGGAGTTTGGTAGCACTGACGGGGAATGCTCATGTTAAAGAGACCAGTTGTTCTAAATTGGCCGGGCTGGTTCAACTTCCTAATGCCCTGTACTCATAAAGAAGTTGTCTGAAAATGTGCAACTGGGTTTTCACGGACCACGTGGGAAGGGTTCGGTTTTCCCATATGAACTGAAGTTTGTCCCATAATACCTCACAAAGACATGTACCACGATGAACAATTGATCTTTAGTTTGCAACTCTGTGCCCATTCCTGGAGCATGGATTTGGCTGGGAGAAGGCATTCACTAGCTCTAATATCTCCAAGTAGCTTTATATTATAGGAAGGTCAGGCACTAACCAGACCCTTCCAACCCTTCTCCTCAGACTCAGAGCCTGTCCTCTTCTCTCAGGTTGGCTAATGATTATTTGAGTTATATTAAGGGATATTAAGATCTTGATCTTTCCCAGTAGGGAAGCTCTTTTGCTCGGGACAGGGCCTTGGGCAAGGTTTGTGCTTCAATGCCCAGTGAGGGTAAATCCTTCCATTTTATTTGCCTTCATAGACCAGGCTCTTGTATAAATGGGAAAATTACTCACTGGACAGTCTTTAGGAGTGTGGGAAGGTGGGGTTTGGTTTCGATGCTCTCCTGTCTCTTGCAGCCCTGACCTTGCCAATGTGTCTCCTGCTTTACCTCTATTCACCCCTACTCTCACTATTCATCAACCAAACCTTTATGACGTGGTGGCTTCATGAATATTCACCCCTGTTTTTTCAAAAATTATTTTAATAAGGGATTCCTGAAAATTGAAATGTTTTTATGGTCTAAATTAATCTCTATGTGATTAATCTCTATGATACATGAAATTTCTATGATTTCATGTATCAACACAAAATGGGGGTACTTTAATATCCATGGCCTATATCTATACTTATAATAATTAGCTGGTTGTTACTTCTCAGCCTTAATCTATGTTTCACTGTGACCACACACACACACACACACACACACACACACACACATGCATGCATGCACGCAGAAAAACGTTCAGCTTAAGAATCTTGACAAACGAGGAGATGAGGTTGGAATAACATAGTGGAACAAAAACTCTTCTAATTCCTCCACTAACAGAAATCAAGTAATAATTTCCAAAGTTTACATTTGACCATGAAGTTGGACATTGGTGTTTTTAAGTAGGAAGATCCATTTTTATACTTGAGAAAAATAAAGTATAAATTGGAAAGTACTTAGTAAAAATAACCATGCAGAAGCAACTCTCTGCGCCCTGTGAAAAAAATGTTAAACTACTTCATGACTCTTTCTTTTAATATTAAACTTTAAACATCTTTTTCTTTGAAGAAAATACATGGGAAACTTTTCTCCTGCTCTAGTTGACATGCTTAAAGAGAGCAATAAAGCATTCCACTGTGTATTAGAAAATTCTGGGCAGGAGGGGAGAACATTTTAACAGAAATAATTTGAAAGGTGGGAGACTAGACCTGATTAGTTTCCACAAAGCATAACAACTCTTTGAAGGATTAGGGACCAGGACTAAAAATGTAGTATTTTCTTCATATTATTTTTCCCCGATGGTGCTCTTTTTGTGTGTTTCAGCCTGATATTCTATTTCTGTAGTCATCAGTGGCTCACAAACTTTGGTGAGCATCAGAATCATCTGCAAGGCTTGCTGAAAAGGCAGCTTGCTGAGCCATAACCCTAGCTATTTCCAATCACTCAGTCTTGCAGTTCTTTTTCATTAGGATCTCAGCTGCCTCTGATGCAGATGATCTTTTCTACAGAAGCTCTGCAAACACTGTTTTGGAGTCTGTGTACTTCTCAGACTGCTTATTAGAAGCCTGGCTAATTTCGAAGTACCGTTATTTTGAACTTTGTGAAGGGTAAACATGACATTAGTTCTTGTTATTGGTGCAGCCAGATCAGAGACCTCATGCAGAGAACACAGGGACGATCTGCCAAGGAATCCTCGCTCCTGACTGAGGTTTCCATGAGCAGGAGTAGCTTGGCAAGCCCCACAGATACTGAACAGCGCAGGCTCATCAGCATTGATGCAGAACGACATTGCTTTCTTTGCAGGGTTACACTAGGAGGCAAACTGGCGTTTCTGTGGGTCTCTGGGGAAAACAGGACTGAGCTTGGTCCATGGTCCAGGACGGAGGAAGTTCAGAGGCTTGGCATGTAGCCTGTAGCCCTGATTTCTGTGCTTGTTGACTCAAGCTCATTTAACTTTCAGGACGTTATTCTCTCTCATCATCTTTCTACTTTACTCTCGGTTCATCATTTCATTGGTTCCACTGCCTCTTATTATCTCTTAAATATTTACATTCCTCTGAGCTCCACTATGCCACTGTGCTCTTCTCTCTGTGTATCATTTATCTATGTGATCTCAACTATCTTCCCATTGATAGCTCCATCTATGTCTAATCAGGGTCCTTCCTAGAGCCAAGTGCCAAAATTCTATCAGAACGTGCTTAACTATTAAGATTTCCTACCAGAAGCTTGCAAGAGCAAGTCTAAAACCAAACTCATTGCGCTCAGCC